>NC_000004.12:130739562-131042593 GCF_000001405.40 Homo sapiens
GCCTAAGAATTTGTCTGTCTCCTGTCTTATCAATATTTACTGTATTTTGCTGGAACTTGCCAACACATTCATTTCTATCTCACTGGCATCTGAGGACCATGAGCAATTCATGTTTATGTCACAAATTCTCCAATGTATACTCTCTTAAATTCCCTAAGGTACTATTTTACACCCATGGATAGTTAAAAATTTTACATGAGTGCCTCTACCCTCCATGTCCAAAAAGTTCACTGTATAGATAAAGTCCTGTTGGCTGGCATGTCTAAGATGGAGTTTCAACAGGGTAAATTGAATATCTTAATTAGGATTGAGATGAAGCAGGGACCTGCTGCCCACTAACCCACACTGAACATAGAGAAAAAAGAAAAATTTGAATTTTTCCTTTCAAGGGAAATACCAGGCACTTAGCTAGCCCTTCAACCAAAAATTAGGGAAATGAATGAATAACCTGCTAAGCAAGAAGATAATAGTAGTTTAAATAGTCATTCCAGTAGGTTAGAGTCACAAGATGTTCGCTTGCTTATAGAAAATAAATATCTTGACATATGTCCTTGAGTTGTTTTCCAGAAATCAGGATCCCCACTCAATGGAAAATGCCAAACACTCTCATGTAGACCTCAGATAGACTGAAACCAAAATAGATAAAGAAGTTCAAGAAATTTCCCAGCACTTAACTTACTTTGGAGACACCCTTGCCCTTGCCTTCAAAAACTCTTGCTTATAAGCAAGAGTTTGGATTGTTGCTGTTAGCTGCCCATTCTCCTTCCTTGGTGCTTTGCAATAAATGCCTTTCTCTCTGCATATTTTGGTGTCAGTGTTTGGCTTTGCTGCACTAGACAAATGGTCCCAAGTTTGGTTCAGTAATACTATAGTTTAAGAATAAGATCTAAAATTAAGTAATAGGAGACTTCCAACTTTCTTTGTATTCAAATTTATAATTTGTATTAGGATTGTTTTAATTATTCTACTTATTTACATATCCAAAAAAATTTGAGTCACTTTCAACTTGTAAAGAAAAAAGCCTGATGATATATTGAGGATTGTGTTGATCAATAAATATGATATTTTTCAATGTATTTACATTTTCTTTAATCTTTAACACAGGTATTTTATAGTTTTCTGTATATGGATCATGCACTTTTTTTGTTAAATTTCTCCCTACACATTTTAACTTATAAATGGTATTGTGAATGAAATAGTTTATTTGTGTATGGGTGGGTGGGTGGGTGAGTGTGTGTGCACACTTGCTGTGGAACTGATTATTTTGTTTCTGTATAATGACTTTTTTTATTTTAATGAGAACATTTGGCATAAGATATTCAATTTTAATAAATTTTAAGTTTTTTTTACTACTGGTGTATTTAAGTAATTTTTACTACTGGTGTAATGTTGTACAATAGCAGATCTCTAGAGTTAATATATCTTACTTAACTGAAAATTTATGACAATTTACTACCAATTTTCTGTTTGTCCCTCCACCCTCAACCTCTGGTAATTACCATTCTTCTTCTCTTGGATTCTATAAATTTGATGATTTTGGATATTCACAGGAGTGAGATCACGCAGTATTTGTCATTCAGTGACCGGCTTATTTTACTTAGCGTAATGCCCTCAAGATTCATTGATGCTGCTGCACATTGAGGACTTTCCTTCTTTGTTTGTAAGTCTAAATAGTATTCCATCGTATGTATATACCACATCTTTTTTACTCCATTCTTCTGTCTATGGACAATGAAGGTTGTTTCACATCTTGGCTATTATGAATAGTATGGCAATTAACCTAGAAGTGCTAATATATCTTCCAGATTCTAATTTTAATTCTTTTAGATAAATACTTAGAAGTAGAATTGCTGGATCGTATGGTAGCTCTATTTTTAATTTTAAAAGGAATATCCATACTGCTATTACCACCAACATTGTACAAGAGTTCTAATTTCTCTATATTATTGCCCACACATGATTTTTTCTTTTTTTAATTCAATTTTTATTTTTAGATACATGGATACATGTGCAGGTTTCTTACACTGGTATATTCTATAGTGAGCATAGTACCCAGTATATAGTTTTTCAACCCACATCTCCTTTTCTCTCTCTCCCAAAGTAGTCTGCAGTGTCTATTGTTCCCATGTTTATGTCCATGTGTACCCAATGTTTGGCTCCCACTTATAAGTGAGAACATATGATATTTGGATTTCTGCCCTGCATTAATTTGCTTAGAATTATGGCCTCCAACTCCATCCATGTTCTCCAAAGGATATGATTTAATTCTTTTATATGGCCGTGTAGTATTCCATACTGTGTATGTTCCATATTTTCTTTATCAATCAACCATTGATGGGCACCTAGGTTGATTCCATGTCTTTCCCATTGTAAATAGTGCTGTGATGGACATGTCTAGGTACCTTTTGGTAGAATGCTTAATTTTCTTTTAGCTATATACCCAGTAATGGGATTGCTGTGTCAAATGGTAGTTCTGTTTTAAGGTTTTTTGAGAACTCTCCAAACTGCTTTCCATAGTGGCTGAACAATTTTACGATCCCACCAATATTTTATAACCATTCTCTTATCTGCAGCCTTGCCAACATCTATAGTTTTTTCACTTAAAACTGGCCACTCTGACTGGTGTGAGATGGTATTTCATTGTGGTTTTGATTTGCATTTCTCTGATGATGAATGATGTTGAACATTTTTCAACATGTTTCTTGTCCCCTTGTACGTCTTCTTTTGAGAAGTCTCTATCCATGTTCTTTGTCCACTTTTTAATAAAGGTTATTTGTTTTCTTCCTTTTTGAATTGTTTAAGTTCCTTATAGATTCTGGATATTAGACTTTTGTCAGATGCATAGTGATATGATTTGGCCCTGTGTTCCCACCCAAATCTCACCTTGAATTATAATAATACCCATGTGTCAAGGGCAAGACCAGGTGGAGGTAATTGAATCAGGGGGGCAGTTTCCCCTCTGCTGTTCTCATGATAGTGAGTGAGTTCTCACAAGATCTGATGGTTTTATATTCCATCTGGCATTTCCTCTGCTTACTGGCACTCATTATCTCTCCTGCTGCCCTGTGAAGAGGTGCCTTATGTCATGATTGTAAGTTTCCTGAGGGGTCTCCAGCCATGCAGGACTGTGAATCAATTAAACCTCTTTTCTTTATAAATTACCCAATCTTGGGTATTTCTTCATAGCAGTGTGAAAATGGATTAATACAGTAAATTGGTACCACAGAGAGTGGGGTGCTGCTATAAAGATACCCCATAATGTGAAAGTGACTTTGGAACTGGGTAATAGGCAGAGGTTGGAACAGTATAGAGGACACAGAAGAAGACAGAAAGATATGGGATAGTTGAAACTTCTAGATACTTGTTGAATGGTTTTGACCAAAATGGGGATAGTGATATTGACAATGAAGTCCAGGCTGAGGTGGTCTCAGAGGGAGATGAGAAACTTGTTGGGAGTAAAGGTCACTCTTTGTTTTAGCAAAGACACTGGTAGCTTTTTGCCCCTGCCCTAGATATCTGTGGAACTTTGAAATTGAGAGAGATGATTTAGGGTATCTGGTAGAAGAAAATTCCAAGCAGCAAGACATTCAAGAGATGACTTGGGTGCTCTTAAAAGCTTTCAGTTTTATAAATTCACAAAGATGTGGAATGGAATTGGAACTTATGTTTAAGATGAAAGTTATTTTGGTAACCTTATAATATAGCTTAAAGTCGGGTAGTGCGGTGTCTCCAGCTTTGTTCTGTTTATTTAGGATTGCTTTGTCTATTAAGGCTCATATTTGTTTCCATATGAATTTTAAAATACTTTTTTCTAATTCTTTGAAGAATGATGTTGATAGTGTGATAGGAAAAGCATTGGATTTCTCAAATACTTTAGGTAGTAGGGTCATTTTAATGATATTGACTCTTCCAATCCATGCACATGGAATGTTTTTCCATTTATTTTGGCAGTATTTTGTAGTTCTTCTTGTAGATCTTTCACCTCCTTTGTTAGCTGTATTCCTAGGTATTTCATTTTCATTTTGACCAAAAATTGTAATAGGATTGTGTTTTCAATTTGACTTTCAGCCTGGACATTATTAGTGCATAGAAATGCTACTGATTTTTGTACATTGATTTGGTGTCCTGAAACCTTGGTAAAATCATTTATCATTTCTAGTAGCCTTTGGTGGAGATTTTAGGATTTTCTAACTATAGAATCATCATCAGTGAAGAGAGGTAGTTTGATCTTTTCCTACTTGGATGTCTTTTATTTATTTATCTTGCATGATTTCTCTGGCTAGGACTTTCAGTACTATGTTGAATAGAAGTGGCAAGTGTGGGTATCCTTGTCTTTCTCCATTTCTCAAGGAAAATGGTTCCAGCTTTTGCCCATTTCATGTGATATTGGCTATATTTTTGTCATAGATGATTCTTATTATTGGAGGTATACTCCTTCAATGCCTAGTCTCTTGAGGGTTTTTATTAAGAAGGGATGTTGGACTTTATCAAAGGCTTTATCTGTGACTGTGGAGATTATCATATGGTTTTTGCTTTTAATTCTGTTCATGTGTTGAATCACATTTATTGATTTGCATATGTTGGACCATTAGACCAGTAATAAAGTGTATTTAATTATGGTGAATTAATTTTTTGATGTGCTGCCAGCTTTGGTTTGCTATAATTCAGTGAGAATTTTTTCATCTATGTTCACCAGGGATATTGGCCTGAAGTCTTCTTTTTTTATCATGTCTCTGCCAGATTTTGGTATTAGACTGATGCTGGCTTCATAGAATGAGTTAGGGAGGAGTCTCTCCTCTTCTGTTTTTTGGAATAGTTTCAGTAAGATTGATACCAGTTCTTTTTTATATGTCCAATAGAATTTGCCTGTGAATTCACCTGGTCCAGAGCTTTCGTGGTTGGCAGATTTTTTAAATTACTGATTATATTGAAGGACTTAAACATGGCCTATTTAGGGATTCAGTCTCTTCTTTATTCAGTGTTGAGAGACTGTGTGTCTCCAGGAATGTATCCCTTTCTTCTAGATTCTCAAATTTGTGTTCACGGTGTTGTTCACATTATCTCTATGTGGCTCTTTTGCATTTCTGTGGGATCAGCTGTGATGTTATCTTTGTAATTTAAAATTGTATTTACTTATTCTCTTTTTTGTTAATCTAGCTAGCAGTCTATCAACCTTGTTAATTTTTTGAAGAAACAACTCTTGGTTTCATTTCTTTTTTAATGGAATATTCATCTCAGTTTTAAGTTCTTCTCTAATTTTAGTTACTTAATTGCTTATGCTAGCTTTGGGGTTGGTTTATTCTTTTTTTTTTTCTAGTTACTCTCCTTCTCTTTTGGGAATTCCAGGTGTCATAAATACAGTCTCATTACAAAATTCCATAATTCTTGGTGCTTTTCTGTATTTTTTAAAGTTATTTTCTCTTAATTTTGTCTGACTAGGTTGATTCAAAGAACCAGTCTTATTAGGCTCAGAGAAATTACATGGGTCAGGTGGTCACTGGCAAATTTAGGCTTGGAGGCTATGGAAATACTTGATGGTTTCCTTTTTAGAAAAGATTTTCAAACCAGGATAAGTCAGCTGTGCCTTAGAGATGGTCAGATAGGTAGATAGATAGATAGATAGATAGATAGATAGATAGATAGACAGATACACACATACATACATACATACATGACAGACAAATCAACAGAAAAATCAATAGATCAATATATCAATAGAAAAATCTATTTCCAGTTTAAATGAAAGTTAAAAATTTCAAATATTCGCAGCTCAGTTTTTAACTTTTTTCTCTCATAACCCAATAAATTCATGTGGCCTTAAATCTTTATGATATTGTCTGATTTTGAAAGTGATTTGAAAGATTTTTAAATTAATTCTTGACTTTTAAGTGAAAAAACAAACGTTTTTCTTCACTATACCATAAACTTAGTATTTGCAAATAATACAAACAAAAATATTTTCACACATAGCAGAAAACCCTCTTCAGATTCCTGTTCTGCAATGTAACATTATTGTTATTACTTAATTTCTGGCTGATTTTTATAATACATACATAGAAACATTTTATTTTTATATAACTAAAAATAAATTAAGTACATGAGTACTTGAAAAAATTCAATGACAATCAGACTAAAGTTATTTACTTCCATAATAATTAATCAAAATATTTCCCAGTTGATCAAATTTTTATCCTAGTACTATTATTATTATTTATTTGCAGAATAATGTTTAATTCATTTTTTTTAAATTCTAGAGGATATGAAAAACCTTGAGAGCCACTGTCATGCTATTGTTCACTACTGTAGTCATACCCCTGAACAGATATAAAGTATACTTGGTTCTTGAACAACACAAATTTGAGCTGTCCTTTCCATTTACACGAGGATTTTCTTCTGCCTTTGCTACCCCTGAGACAGCAAGGCTAACCCCTCTTCATCATCCGCCTCCTCAGCCTAGGCAAGATGAAGAAGATAAGGGTGAAGACCTTTATGATAATCTACTTTCATTTAGTAATAGTAAATATATTTCCTCTTCCTTATGATTCTCTAATTTTTTCTTCTAGCATACTTCATATTATGAATACAATGTGTAAGACGTTCAACATACAAAATATGTGTTAATCAACTGTTTATGGTTGATTATGACTTCTGGACAACAGTAGACTATTAGTACTTCAGGCTTGGGAGAGTCAAAAGTTACACATGAATTTTTTTACTGTACAGCAAGTTAGTCCCCCTTAACGCCAATGTTGTTCGAACATCAACTGTACTTATTCTTAAGTGTGGATGTACAGGTCTAACCCATCACAGAAACATAGTGAAAACAGGAATCTTAGAAGCAGACTGACATACATGTAGAACCGGGAAGTGGAATTTTTGGCTTGAATTCAAGAACCAGCTTTACTTCTCATGGAATTCTGAGAGAATCATTCAAATGTTATGTCATGCTTCTCTTATCTATAAAATAGCATAATAAAAATGTGTCTTGACTACATAATGAAATTAGAGAATCAAATTGTGTGTTTGTTTATATATTAAAATATTTGCTTAATTATGACAGCATATGTACTATACATTTTTTACTAGCTTCCGATAAAGTGAAATAAGTCTTTATAAACTTCCCTTTAGTTCTTTGAATGTTAAATCCCCAATGCTACTCATTCCAATTTAATGTCACTTAAGGTCAAATTTATGTATAAATGAATGTATAAACTTAGTAAGCATGTTTAACCCAAATTCAAAAGATAAAGAATAGGCAGTAAGATAAGCTAATGAAGTACAGATTTGGGAGTACACAAACTTTTCTATTCTGCCCTTTAAATGGCAGTTTGATCAATATGTTTAGAAATAATTTTTGTGGATTTTTACATTGCTTTTTAAATATTTTGCATACAAATTGCATTTATGCAATAAAAATAAAATATTTTAGCTTTCAGATTTAGCATATATTCTGCACTCCATACTTAACTACTCACCTCCCCACCTCCAACACTAACACTTGGACCTAAATATAGCAGTACTTTCCACTTTACAAAATAAATAATTTAGATTAGACTACGTCTGTAATGTGCCATAATTATATTCTTTCTGAATGACCTCAAGGCTGCTTTCCACCACTTAATTAAATTCTATACAGTGGCACTAAAAATGTACAGAGAAAGATAACTTACTAGAGTGAGTTCCTCATTTATTGCCTTTCTTGGGACACACTACTCATCTCTATTTTTTCAATAAAATAAGAGCCTCAATGTCATGTGTGAAGGAAAGAAGCAGCTCAGGCTTGAGGAAAACCAACAGTCAGCCTCTGTTTTGCTAAATTTTCAGAAGGGTTATCCTGACTTAAAGTAGTTGCAATCACAAAACAAAATATTTCTAATTTTACTTGGGCATAGCAAGATAGCTAACGCTCTCATATAAAGCATCTGGATGGCCTGAATCCAAGTAAAAGGCTGACATTTCTTTCTCTCTTTGAAATATTTTCTGTGTCCTAGGTTCTCTTTTTCTTCTTTGACCCTATCTTTTCTTTTTCCAGCAAATTTTATATTTACATGAAGAATTACTGCCTGGCCTTCCCTATGAAATTTTATATTGATATATTGATATTAATAATATCAGGTTTAACAGTGAATTTTTTTTAAAGTTAATAATTCTGTAGGCACAAATTCAATTTCATAAATGAATATAACCTTAAAAATTATTCCTCAAAATAGACAGTTATCAAGTTTGCCTTTTTTGTTTCTTAAACACTATGAGTAAAGCCTGATCTTTTATCTACTCTTAGTTTTGAAGGTAGTAATTCAGCAACACTATGAAATTATCAAACAATGGCAATGTGAATTTTTGTGGGGTATGTGGACAAACTTAATGACGATTTAGGTAAAGCCTGGGCCTTTTTTTTTTGGTTTTGTTACATCAAAAATATACTTTAAATGTAAAATATATCTTGAGTACAGTTTGGGACTGAATGTTATCCAATAGATGGCACTATACTCTTTGAAATACATTACCTAATGTTACCAGTTTCTCTGTCAAATGACAGAATAGGCATTTTTAGTTTTCTGAAACAGAAAGTTGTCTTAAAGGAATCATCAAAACTTGAGCTATTTCTAATAGTCTTTGGTATGTTCTAATTAAAAACAATCATAGATTTAATCTGTAGAGTTAAAGTCATTATCACTAACCATCCTTAAAATAGTTTAACAGAAAGGAGCATAGATTATTTTATCAAACAAAGTATTTCTGAAAAACAGGATAATGCAAACGTCAGTAAATTAAACATTAACATTAGAACCATTGTGTATATGTACATATGAAACATAATTTAAGAATATGTGTAAATATTAGAATATCCGAATAAGTATAAAACAAGATTTTTTATTTTTGTTATTTGAAAATTATAGTAATAAAATAATGTGCATTATATGTGTGATACATATGATTTTATAATGTTTGTTAAATCTGACTCAAGCATGGTTATTGAGGTTATGTATATTCACACAGAAAAATCACTTGAATAAAAAAGAATATGTACTTTCTTACTTATTGACTTGAATAAAACTTAAAATGTGAATTGAAATTTTTGAAACTTATTTAGAGATCCATAATTTAAAAATTACAACAGGTGATACAAAATATTAAGATTATGTTTACATTAAACCGATTTCTCTATTTATTGTTGAAACATTACTGTGTAGTATTTGGAATAAAAGATTTAAATTAACTTATTAAAATAAACCATAGGAAGAACGATTGTTACAATTTTAACATATTTTATTTGCTTTGCCCTTCCTATCCCAGACCTACACATTCAGGTGTTTTATAATCTTTCTGCCACGTCTTCTGATTTTCCAGATAAGCAGTAGACTAAAATTAAAGTTCCTCATCTAATCGCATAGCAAAGTTCTATAATTGTTAATCAAAATTAAAATAATTATCAAACATAATTTTCAGCATTTTGTTTTTATCATATGAAAAAACCCAGAGTGTTCTGAGAGAAAAGCAATCATATGTTGAATCATATAACAAAGTATTATTTCATATAACATATAACAAAGTTATATATGATATCTATGTCATATATAACAAAGTATTATTAATCACATAACAAGGTATTATTGGTTGCTCAGGGAGAAAAAAATGAAACAGGAAATCATATATTAATCATATAACAGTCAAAGTATAACTGATTCCTCAGAAAGAAAAAATATGGAAATATTTGGAGTTTGTATTCCTTATATACATCAACTGAAAATTATAGGAGATGTCATTTTAACCATATAAAAAATGCTTCTGATTCAAGACCACAAAATGATGAGAAATGAAGAACACAGTAAACAACAAGATCATAGATCTTTGAAATGTAAGTATAGCTATAGCTAACATGCTAATCATATCTTTGGAAAATATAATATGTATGAGTACTAAATAAGAAATCTATAAAGTAGTAAAAAATGAAATAAAATTTTGTTAGTGATGTAAAACTAAAAATATTAAATTATCTCAGGCACTCATAAGGATATCAGTAGAAACAGGAATAAAGAGTAACCTAAATCTCTTATTAGTAAAAGGTGAGGGGAAGAAAGAGGACAAAAGTCAGCATGGTCAAGATATTATTTTAGTTGAGTAGAAGATTTAAGGAGAAAGTGATTATTATGGTGGCAAAACGAAGTGGTTAGCTTTTTTAAAATAAAATAAGAGACTGCCTCTAATTATGAGTATGTCAATAAGATAAGCATTAATTGTATAGACTACATAGAATTATTTTTAAATAAGCAAGGTGACAAATTGGAATGAATAGCAACATAATAAAACTTAAAAGAGAATAATAAATGTGACTATTTAATAGAAAGAATAATTAAAATGAGTAGAATATAGTCAAGTCCATCAATCATTACAAAAAATGGGAATAGGTGGAATTTTTCAGATAGTGATAATATGAAAGTATCAGTAATTTTCTTACGGAAAACACATTTAAGGAAATAAAGTTTCAAAACATATTGAAAGAAATGTTAGGCAAATGAATATAGAAAGAAAAAGCAGGCATGAAAATATCGAAAGGATTTTTTAGGTAAGAAAGGCCACTTGTAATACACACACACACACACACACACACGCATACACACACACACACATTCATTTCATAAAGTTCTAGCCTCAGAGAGAGATTAAATAGGCTACGCTGTTAAAAATTTTGATGTTATTAGTACCTTCACACTTTCACATCCCATTAATATAATTTTTTTCACTTTCTCAAATAATATTTGAATAGCTTAAATAGACAAAATCTGAATAAAATGAATGAAAATGGTCACATTATATATTACATTCTTTGGATATAACAATAAAATTTGAAGTAAAAAATTAAAAGTCAAATGCAGATAATTTGGCTATGTACAGTTAGCTATAATTAAGAATCAGAACCTTAAATAATATTTCTATTAAAAAGAATATGAAAATTATAAACTTCACTTTAATATTACAGTGAAAAATATATTTAATAAAAGAATAAATACTAAAAGCTTTATCAAAAAAGAAAAAGAAAAAACTAGCATAACATTAAAAGCCTCAAATATTTAAATAGAAACAGGCACAAATAATAAAATTAGGAATGATTTTTATAATTTGAGGATAGGCCAGGCACGGTCACTCACGCCTGTAATCCCAGCACTTTGGGAGGCCAAGGTGGGCAGATCACGAGGTCAGGAGGTTGAGACCATCCTGGCCAACATGGTGAAAACCCGTCTCTACTAAAATACAAAAAATTAGCCGGGCGTGGTGGCACGTGCCTGTAATCCCAGCTATTTGGGAGGCTGAGGCAGGGGAATCACTTGAACCCGGAAGGTGGAGGTTGCAGTGAGCTGAGATCGCGGCACTGCACTCCAGCCTGAAGACAGAGCTCCGTCTCAAAAAAAAAGAAGTTTGAGAATAAATACTCACAAATGAAATTAGAAGTGATTTATAATAAAGTGTTAATATAAATAATCACTTAAATAAATAACTATAATGAATGATCAAACAATAATTTTGAAATTAGAGAAAAAATAATATATACAGGAGCTGGTTTCTTACAAAGACAATGTGATAGTTATTTTTGTATGTCAACTAGGCTAGGCCACAATACCCGGATATTTGGTCAAACATTATTCTAGATGTTTCTGTGAATATATTTTTTAGATGAGATTAACACTGAAAGATCAGTAGACTTTGCATATAGATTAATCTCTAAAATGTGTTGAAGTTTACTCTTCGTGATAAGTTGAAGGTCTAAATAGAAAGAGACAGAAGTCCCCAGAAGAAGAGAGAACTTTGCCAGCAGATGGCATTTGAATCTGAACATCAAGAACTGCTTTTCCCTGGACCACTTTGCATATTTTGGACTTGCCAGCCTCCATAATCACATGAGACAATTCCTTAAAATAAATGTCTCTCTATACATATATGCATCATTTTTGCTACCTTTTACTGAGAACCCCAACTAATACAAATTTTGATACTGGGAGTGGTTCTAGAGGAACTGAATTTTAAGTATTGATTTGTAAATTGGCTGTGGAGTTTCTGCAATTGGTTCTCCAATTCAATTAGATTTAAAAAACATTAATCTATTTCTAGTAGTAAAGAGTGCACTGACAGTCCATGGTATAATGCAGCAATACAGATATGCAAAATACCACCACTGGATACTGCTAATCAGACACATATAAGAGGCAAGGTTCTGAGTGATCATGTCTATGAGGGTCTGGGTGACAATGTTCATGATATCTTTGAACATTTCCTCAAAATAATGCTTATAATCAGTTGTGCTTGTTGTTCCTAATGTCACTGGACAAACAGGAAGGAACAGCGTGAGATCAAGTATTCAAATTCCCAAGCCCATTTGCTGCAAAAAATAACCTGAAAGCTTCTATGTCTGCCTGAAAAAGATTCTTATCTCCTGTGGCCTCAGAACTGAGACAGATAAAAACCAAATGCAGAGTCTCATAATGCAAGTGGTTAAATAACAATGCAGGTAGAATTCCCAACCTCTCAGGGAGCTGTCTATTAAAATAAGGGCATTGATTGGGAAGAATTGCATTTCTGAAAATTTGAATGGAGACATATGAGAAGATACTGATGAAGGTCAAGACTGAACCATTTAATCCTGATGAGTATTCTGTGCCAGTAGAAGCATCATCTCCACCTCCTTCTGAGAACATTTGCTCTTTATTTCTAAAGAAACTTTTATGGCGTCCCTTGAGGCAGTTGCCTTGGAAGACACTGATGATTTTTTCATGACCCACCCTCAACAACCCTCTTTATTTTAGACCTATAACTAGACATAAGTCCCAGAAGCCCCTAAAGGTGGGGTACAAGGTGTGAACCATGAGGAAGTATGCTATGCTCCAAAATAACTTCTTTATTTTAATAATATATGTAGAGAAAAATCCAGAGAATGCATATGTGAATGAATATTAACAGTGTGGGATACTGATGGAAGGAACATAAAGGTAGAATTTCTTTGGGCTCACTTAGAAGATATTCTGCATTTAATGGTATAGGAGAGGGAATTAGTTTGTTTGGTTCATTGGCTGAAACAAACCAAAAGTGGTCCACAGTAAATAAACTTGAAATGTCAGAACTCCCTTGGTAAACTATAGAGGAAGAGATTCAAAGGCTTTGGGAGATTGAAATATTAGAGTTATTTGTCATTTAAAACCTATTAACTCACCCCAGGAGAGTCCAGAGGATGCACCTTTTACTTAAATGGTGAGAAATAATTTTTTCAGTGGAACCCTGTCATCCTTGAAGAGTTCTGTGATTGTTCTTCTCTGTAGAGCAGAACTTAGGGTGGGAATTGCAGCCACTGAAGCGGGATATCTACATTCAGTGAGAGTAATTAAATCCCAGGGTGTGGGGGTGGTCTTGTGGTAGTTCTTAAGTGCCAAAGGCAGAGTGGACCTGGTTACCATAATGAACAGCAGAGTCAAAGCAACCATCAGAATAGTCTAATTTGTACAGACCTATGGCTTTGGCTGGTTGATCATTATGTTCCTAGAGGATAAATAGATAGCCTACTAAACTCTTATTTGATTTGTATAAGGAGAAATTTCTAGGTCAAGTGAAAAAAGTCTGATTTCAATTATAAAAACAAAAAGTCATGGCCCCTCATCCAATTTTCTAACGTGGGCCAACTTGCAGACTCAGAAACTCCTAAATGAAGGGGAGGCTTGTCGTCTTGAGGAAGGGCCCTAGCATACTGTCAATAATCAATACTGTTAATTATTTTCCCAGACTTCTGCAAAGGGACCTACAGCCTTTTATCAGAATTACTGCACAGGAGAAAAGGAAGTAACCAGACATTTTGGGAATTACTGCACACTGGCTCTGAACTGACACAAATTCCAGGAAACCCAAAATGTCACTCTGGCCACCAATCAGAGTAAGAGCTTATGGAGGTCAGGTGAGCCATGGAGTTTTCGATCATGTCTGTCTCATAGTTGGTCCCTGAATCCACCCTGTGGTCATTTCTCCGGTAGCAGGTGCATAATTGGAAAAGACAAAGTTAGCACCTGGCAGAGTCTCCATTTAGGACCATGACTTGTGCTACTATGGTAGAAAAGAGCAACTGGGAAGCCATTATCACTGCCATTACTTCTTTTTCATTAAATTGTAAACTAAAGGCAATAACACATCCCTGGAGGAATTATAGAGATTAGTGCCACTATCAAGGACTTAAAAGAAAAAAAAGCAGAAGTAGTAATCTCCATCACATTCGCAGTCAACTCTTTTATTTTGCCTGTGCAGAAGACAGATGGATCTTGGATAACTTTGGATTATCATAGTCTTTACCAGGTCATAATTCCAATTGCACCTACTGTACCAGACGTGGTTTTTTTTTTTTTTTTTTTTTTTGGTTGAGCAAATTAACACATATCCTGGTACCTAGTATGTAGCTATTGACCTGGCACATTTATTTTCTTTCATTCCTGTTAATAAGGCCTACCAGAAGCCGTCAGTTTTTAACTGGCAAGGCCTGCCATATATCTTTGTTGTCCTACATTGGAGTATATCAACTCTTCAGTCTTACGTCATAATTTGGTTTGCATGGACCTTGATCACCTTTCCCTTCTGTAAGATTTCACACTTGTCTGTTACATTGGTACATATGCTGATTGGAGCTGGTGGGCATAAAGTAGCAAGAACTCTAGAGAGTGGAAAATAAATCTGACTAAAATTTAAAGATCTTCAATGTCAGTAAAATTTCTATGAGTCCAATGGTGTTGGTCATGTAGAACTATTAGGTTGAGGCAAAAGTAATTGCTGTTGTTGCCATTAGTTTTAATGACTAGCTCTTCTAAGGGGAAGGATAGGTTGTTGCATTTGGCTCTTCCTCTAACCAAGAAAGAGGCACAATGTCTACCTAGTGAGCCTTTTTGAATTTTGGCAGCAACATGTTCCTCATTGGCTGTGTTACTCTGGCCCATTTACCAAGTGACTCAAAAAGCTGCTAGTTTTGAATGGGGCCCAGAACAAGAGAAGGCTTTGTGATAAGTCTCCAGGGTGCTGTGCAAACTGCTCTGCCACTTAAACCATGTGATCCAATGGTGTTTCGAGTGTCAGTGGCAGATAGGGATGCTGTTTGGAGCCTTTGGAAGGACTCTGTTGATGAATTGTAGCACAGGCCTTTAGGAATTTTAGCAAGGCTCTGTCATCATCTGCAGGTAACTATTTTAATGTTTTTAAATTTTAGTTTAATTTTTTAAGCTTTTAAATTTTTAAAATTGTTATTGACAGATAAAATTATATGTATGTACCATGTTCAACATATTGTTTGAAGTATGTATAGACTGTGGAATAACTAAATCTTCCTACTTAACATATGTGTTTCTTTACCTAGTTATTATTTTTGTGATCAGAACATTTTACATCTATTTTCTTAGCATTTTTCAGAATAGAATATATTGTCAACCATAGTCACCATGGTGTACAATAGATTTCTTTCATTTATTCCTTCTATCTAACAAAAATTTTGCGTCCTTTGACCAACATTTCTCAAGACCTCCTTCAACCACACCAGCCCCTATAATCACCATTATACTCTACTTCTATGAGATCAATTCACGAAATTGTTCACTGTTTGTTTTTCTGCGTATGGCTTATTTCACTTAACATAATATCTTCAAGGTTCATTCATGTTGTCACAAATGATGGGATTTCCATTGTTTTTTTGTGGCTGAATAGCATTTCCTTCTGTATATACTACATTTTCTTTATTCATTTATCCATTGATGGACACTTAAGTTGATAACATATCTTAGCTATTATGAATAATGCTGCAATAAACGTGTTAGTGTAGATTTGTCTTCAATGCACTCATTTAATTTCCTTTGAATATTTACCCAGTACCGGAATTACTGGATGATGTGGTAGTTCTAGTTTTAATTTTTTGAGAAACCTCCATACTGTTTTTTATAATGGCTATACTAATTTATACTCCCACTAATAGTGCACAATTTTTTTCTACATCCAAGTCAACATTGGCTATCTTTTGGCTTTTTAAAAAGATAGCTGTTCTAACAAGAGTTAGGTAATATCTTTTGGCTTTTTGAAAAGATAGCTGTTCTAACAAGAGTGAGGTAATAATTGTGGTTTTGATTTGCATTTCTCTGATGATTAGTGATGTTGAACATTTTCCTTCAAATACCTATTGGCCCTTCATATATCTTCTTTTGAGAAATCTACAAACATTCCTTTTGATCACTTTTTGATCTGTTTACTTTGTTTCTTGCTATGGAGTTATTGGTGCTGAGGTGTGCCAGAGCCTGGGGAAGATGTGGCTGGTGCAGAGCTGGACATGCCAGTAACTCAGGGCAGATGTGACTGGTTCAGTGCTGGGTGTGCCAGAAGGCTGGGACTACTGACAGCTGCCTGGAGCCCAAGTTACTGAAGTCAGCCCAGTGGCTGTGCAGATAGGAGATTCAGTCTGCCATACAAGCCTGAAGCCTAGGACTGTGTGGTTCCACCAGGCACTGGGGAAGGTCTAGAGGCTCAATAGAAGCCTGCCTATCTGGAGTTTAGGGTCATAGGGGTTTGCCTGGTGCTGGCTTTTACTGTGGCAGGCCCAGTGTTGAGGTGTAGGACACAGTTCTGTGCTCATTTTCCTCTCTTTTCTCCAGGTGGATGGTATCTCTTTTCACACTGTGTTACCTGAGGCTGGGGGAGGGGTAAAGCAGATAATGTAAAACTGTCCTTTCTACTCTCTTCAATGCATCTTTACTTATTATTTATTGTGCTACAACCCAATACTGTAATCTCACCTGGTTTTCTTAGCTCTTGTGAAGGTCTTTTTTTTTGCGTGGATTATTCAAATTGATATTTCTGGAAAGGGCTGATCACTGAAAAGAGTGATACTCTGCCATCTTGCTCCACGCCTTCTTCAACTACTTGGGCCTTAGTAGAGATTTAATGCTTAACCAGGGGCCAACAAGTTATCATGAGATCTGAGCTGCCTATTATTAACTGGGTATTTTCTGACCTACCAAGCCATAAAGTTAGGCTTGCACAGCAATAGTCCATCATCAAATATAATTTGTATTTATATATATGAGCAAGCCCTGAGGGAACAAATAGGTTGCATAAACAGGTGGCCTTTATGCCCACAGTCTAACTCTTACTATGCTGCCCTCCCTCTCAGTCTGTGCCTATGCACTCATAAAAAAGAGAAGACTCAGCCTAGTTGACAGATGGTTCTGCAGGATTTGTAGGCAACACCAAAAAGTGGATAGCTGCAGACTCCAGTCATCTCTGGGATATCCTTAAAGGACAGTAGTAAAGACCATTCCTCCCAGTTGGCAGAACTTGGGGCAATCCATCTGTTCTGTACTTTGCTCCAAAGAAGAAATGGCAAGATGTGCTATTATACACTGATTGATTCATGGGCTGTGGCCAATAATTTGACTAGATAGTCAGGGACTTGGTAGAAACATTATCAGAAAATTAGTGATCAAGATACTTGGGGAAAAAAACTCATGGATAAATTTTACTGAATAGGTAAAAACCGTGAAGATGGTTTTGTCCCATGTAAATGGTCACCAAAGGGTAACATGACAGGAGAAGGATTTTTATAATCAAATGGGTAGAATGACCTGTTCTGTAGATATCAATCAGCCTCGTTCCCAACTACCTATCATCACTCAATTGGCTCATAAACAAAGTGGCCATGGTATCAGGGATGGAAGTTATGGTGAACTTAGGGATATGGACTGCCTCTCACAAAGGCTGATCTGGTTATAGTCACTGCTGAGTGCCCAATTTTCAGCAGCATAGACCAACTCTGATCTCCTGACATGGCATCATTCCCTGAGGTGGTCAACCAGCTACCTGGTTGTAGTTTGAATACATTAGAACATTTCCATCATGGAAGGAACAAGGTTTTGTCCTTACAAGAATAGACACTTCCTCTAGATTAGAACTTGCCTTTCCTGTATGCAGTACTTCTGCAAAAACTACCATTTATGGAATTACAGAATGTAATTATGATCATGATGTTCCACACAGCCACACAGTATTGCTTCTGATCAAGGAACTCACTTTACAGCAAAACAATTGCAGCAATAGGGCCATGTTCAAAGACTATTGTTCTTAATGCATTCCCTAATATCCTGAATCAGCTGCCTGGATAGAACACTGGAATGGCCTGTTGAAGATTCTGTTACAGCACTGGCTATGTGCAAATACATCAGTGTGCAACATATGATGCTATGTCTCCAATAGCCAGGATTAACAGGTCCAGAAATCAAGCGGTGGAAATGAGAGTGTTACCACTCATTATTACCCCAAATGACACACTAACAACATTTTTGTTTTATTTTTCCAGGACTTCATTCTCTGCTGGACTGGAGGTGTTACTTCCAGAGGGAGGAATGGTTCCACCAGGAGACACAACAAGAATTCCACAGAACTGTAAGCTAAGACTGCCACGTGGTCACTTTAGGCTTCTCATACCTCCAAAGCAACAAGCAAGGAAGAGAGTTACGGCGTTGGCTAGGGTAAAAGACCCTGGCTACCAAGGGGAAACTGGACAATTCTTTTATTATATAATGGAAGAAAGGAAAGTATTTCTGAAATACGGGTGATCCCTTAGTGTGTCTCTTTGTATTATCATGCCTTGTGATTAAAGCCAATGAAAAATTACAAAAACCTAATCAAGGCAAAACTACTAATGGCCCCAACATTTCAGGAATTAAACCTTGGGTTACCTCACCAGGTAAAGAACCATAATCAGCTGCTGTAGTTGCAGAAGGCAAAGGAAATATGGAATAGGTAGTGAGAGAATGTAGGTATAAAGACCAACTGCAACCATCTAAACAATTATAGATAAAAGGACTGTAATTACTCTGAACATTAGTTTCTTACGAATATGTTTCTTTCTCTTTCACACACACACACATACACACACACACACACACACACACACACAGTAGTAAGGCTCCCCTAATAGTCTAACAAGGAGCTGGAAGTTCTGATGTAGTCAGTCTGCCAAGAGTGGGAGTGGGAAATGCCCATGGTTATGTGGCCTCTGCATCATGAGACAAACAGGTCAGATATTTCCATCAGTAGCTGTAATTCATTTATTTAGTTTTCAGACTGCATTACTATGTTTAATTACATAGTCTGTAGTTTTCCAAGTGGCTAGTCCAAAAAGCTAGACCACTGGCAACAATTCTAGAGTCTAAAGTAAATAACCCACAACTATAATGGAAGCAAAACCACTGGACACAGGGTTTTAGTTTAGTCATGCTATCAAGGAGCCAGCCTCTGGCACTTAGGCCAATGAATGGAGGATCTAGTTGACCCGGTAGCTTTTTTTTAGGCAAAGCAGGGAAGGACAGTTTTTTTTTTTTTCTTTCCAGTGAGATAGCTGTCCATTTTTGTTTCTTTCCAGTGAGACAGCTGTCCATTTTTGTTTCTTTTCTTTTTTTTTTTCAGACAGAGTCTCACCCTGTCATCCAGGCTGGAGGTTCACTGCAGCCTCAAACTCCTATGCTCAAGTGATCCTCCCACTTCAACTTCCCAAGTAGCTGGGACTACAGGTGTGTACCACCACACCAAACTAATTGTTTCTCTTTAAACAAATGTCATAGAGAAGAGGTCTCATTATGCTGTCCAGGCTGGTCTCGAACTCTTGGGCTCAAGTGATCCTTCTGCCCTGGCCTCCCAAAGTGTTGGGATTATAGGCATGAGGCACTGTGCCCAGCCAGTCACTTTTCTTTCATTCAAAGCCAATGTGTTGCTGGGGTCGTGTAGGCTATGTTTTTGAGTATACCATTTATATTCCTAAGTTAGGATGTTTGTGTCCTTGTTAGTCATTGAGTCCGATTTGACCTTTCACAAATGAGAATTTCAGGCCAGAGAGCAAAAAGCCCTTTATAGGTCAGGTGTTCAGTTTCAGCAAGAGCCCAGTAGCAAGCTAATAGTTGTTTTCTAAAAGCAGTGCACCTGGTAGCTATGTTAAGGAGGCCAAAAGTCTAAAACTCCAAAAGGCACCTCTCGGAGGTGGAGGTTGTCTCCCTTTACCAGAGGCTGACATTTGAAAAATTATAAGTTGTAGAGATTTGTACTATCTGTAACACTCAAAGTATTTAATAGGTTGCTGGGCATCCCTTTTGATGCTGGAGCCAAAAAGAGGAAAGATTTCCCCTGAATATCAAACTCATCGTTGTGAATCCACTCACATCTTCTCAACTTTTAAATAGCAAGGCTGTTTGGTATTTAAAATTTGGTAGCCTATGCTGAAGAAGGGTGATTGCACTACAGTTAGGGCCTTCAACACTAAAGTTTCTGATGAACCAATTGACAGTACATCATCCGTATAGTAAGTGCCTTAAACATTAGAGGATAGAGGCACTCATGGCAAATCCTGATCCACCTAGTGGCAGATGGCAGGGGAGTTGGCTTCAGTAGCATCTTTCTATCTGCAGCTCTCTCATTGTTGGGATAATCTTCTCTGGCAAATATGGAGTGGAGAAGTTCAAGCATATGACACATCAATTTCTGGTATATATTCAAATGCAAAAGTAAGGAAAATATTACATTAATTGGCTCAAGGATCCCCATTTTCTGGATTCAATGATCCATAGGTATTTTCATGTTTCTGCTCCATTAGGCCTTTCTGGGTAAAGAGAACTGGCACTGGGTTAAAGGGTGATTGAATGGCAAATAATCCTTAGAAGTTAAAGACCGAGGTCTCAGAGAGATTTAGTGATAGCTCCCCACTAGATATTTGCTCACCTTGCAAAGTGTAATACAAACATCAGCCTGTAAGGCTGATGTAAAAGCTTCTGTAAAAGCTTGGAGCTTCACAATTTTGTGATTTTCTCAGTGTGATGTATACTCCTGCATTCACAGACACATCTGGTTCTCATTACTTGGTGCTTGGAGATTTAGGGCATGAGAAATAGGACCCAGATGCTCTGTGGAAGAAAGGTATGTTCCCTGATCCAGAGATCTGGGGTTTTTCTGTATAAGTATTTTAATAGTATCTATCATCTATCTATCTATCTATCTATCTATCTATCTATCTATCTATCTATCTATCTATCATCTATCATCTATCTACCTAATCTATCGAATCTGTCTCTCTACCATATCATCTATCTATCTATTATCTATCTACCTAATCTATCTAATCTGTCTCTCTACCATTGGCAAGCTACTGGTTAGGTTGCAAGTAGAGTCCCTTCTAATATCCTTCACAGTGCTAGACCTAACACTCACCTGCAAGTACACTGAATTTCCCTCTTACATTGTGACCCCTGCCCAAATGTATGAGCCAAATCCAGCCACTTCCAAACCTTGTTGATTCAGAGGTATGAGGAACCCAAAGTAACCAGGTGGCAGTCTTAGCAAGATGACCAGATCTAAGCGGAATGATTACCTGAATGTTTGTATTCAACAGAATCATAAAAGTTTGGGTCCCTCCCTTTCTTGACATTCCACAGTATATTGAACATTTTTCTTTTTCCTTAAAACAGCAGAGATCAGGTAGAGGGGAAAGGAAGAATAAGAGTGTTCAGAGAAAGAGACCTAAATACATGAAATATATGTATATTTAACTTGTCTGTGGTCATTCTTTTACAAGTATGTCGAAAGTATAAAATATTTTCAATGAAGTATTATTTTTAGTATGTCGTTCTATGTTGATTTACAGGAATTACTTTAAAATAAAGTAATCATTACATACAACAGAGTAGTTAACAGTGGCAAAAAAGTTATAGAAATTTATAATTTAAAAAAGGAGAGGTCAATAAAATATAGTTTTGAGGGAAGAAAAGCACGTTAAATAATAATACAGCTACAGCAGGTGTTGGCAAACGATGGCCTCTTGGACAAATTTTGCCCATGGCTTGTTCTTGCACATTCCTTGATCTAAGAAGATAAATAATACAAATATTGTACTGTGCATTTAAAATTTTCTTAAGAGGATAGCTCTTATGTGAAGTGTCCTTACCATAATAACACAAAATTAAAAAGTGATTTTTTTATTAAATAGAGTAGAAAAGGGGAGAAAGGGAAGAAGAATAAAGAAAAGGAGATGCTGCTGCCATTGAAACCATATTTAGCCAACAAAAATAAAACAATTACTTCCAGACTCTGTATAGAAAATATTTGCCAAGCATTATTGTACTGCATGATAATATTTTTGTAAGACACAAACACACAAATACTATATATACTTAACATAGGTAATTAATTGTTAAAATTTCAATAAGTGTTTTATATAAATCCAACCATAGCTTTCTTCCTAATAATATGAAAACTAAAAATGTGAAAAATTAATATAGAGGGACTGGTTAACGAATCATATCTTAAAATAAGGTTACAATTTATGTAATTTACTACACAATTTCTTTCTTAACATTGCCTTCTAGAAATACCACTATTTTAATTAATATGTAAAACATATATTTTAGATAAGCCGTATATTTTTCCGAAGTTGAATCCTGTTAATAGCTATTCCGTTGTTTCTTAGTTTTTCTTTTTAACTTAAGCAATGGTATAATAAAACAATCACATACCTGTATTTTTTATTACTGGTTTTTTTCTATGGGAGAGATTACTAAGAATTAAATTTCTAGGTTGTGGTATATTTATTGTTTTAATTTTAATAGCTATCTCTGTATTATTTCCTTTGTAAAACAGAACTATTGTAATAATATACACTTCTACCAGAAATGTATGAGAAAGACTCTTTTTGTGAATCCCTGAGAGATACTTTGTTACTGCTCGTCTTTATTTTTACCACTCCTACTCTAATTTATAAGATATGGTTCTACTTTGTAATGTTGGTTGTATTAACATTAAACAATGAATAAAATTTGAAGAAAAGTATCATACTTTTCTGAGAACTTATTTACTTATGTAAATTATTTTATGTAAATTTTGAGAAGATATTTATGTAATCCAATTGACAACTTTAAGTAGTTTAAAAATAATTAAAATATATTATTCTATATAAGACATGTTAATAAAATATTAAGCAGGCTAACATGGATGTCATAAATAGAAATAAACCTACTATGACTAAGAACGAGAGGAAGACTAACTGGAATAAAGGGAGAGAGAGAAAAAGAGAGAGAACAGAACATATCAATAACCAAATATAAATGTTAGATATAATTAACTGAATAACAATGCTTTTACACTGTTGGTGAGACTGTAAATTAGTTCAACCATTGTGGAAGACAGTGTGGCAATTCCTCAAGGATCAAGAACCAGAAATACCATTTGACCCAGCAATCCAAAGGATTATAAATCATTCAACTATAAAGACACATGCACACATATGTTTACTGAAGCACTATTTACAATAGCAAAGACTTGGAACCAACCCAAATGCCCATCAATGATAGACTGGATAAAGAAAATGTGGCACATATACACCATAGAATACTATGCAGCCATAAAAAAGAATGAGTTCATGTCCTTTACAGGGACATGGATGAAGCTGGAAGCCATCACTTGCAGCAAACTAACACTGGAACAGAAAGCCATGTTCTCACCCATAAGTGGAAATTGAACAATAGAACACATGGACACAAGGAGGGGAACATCACACACCAGGACCTGTTGGGGGTTGCAGAGCAAGGGGAAGGAGAGCATTAGGACAAATAACTAATGAATGTGGGGCTTGAAACCTAGATAATGGGTTGTTAGATACAGCAAACCACCATGGCACATGTATACCTGTGTAACAAACCTGCACGTTCTGCACATGTATTCAAGGACTTAAAGTAAAACTTAAAAAATAATACTAATATAATAATACTAATATAAATATGAGTTTGTCTTTCTTACAACAAGATTCTCATTCTTTCTAATCTCTCCCCGGTAGGTAATGTAGCTTATCTTGTTTATTTGCTCTTCATACCATTTACACTACTTCATTTAGCTACCTAGATGTTATAATTGTAAACCTCCTTAATTTGGGGATAAAAGTATTTAATATCTTGTAAATTATTATAATCTGTTGTTGGTATTTTTTAAGGATAATTAGCCCTAATATTTGATGTAGAATTTTTTTTTGTCAGTTGTTTCCCCCAAAGTAATCTTTTTTTTCCTTTTTTTCTTTTTAATGTGGGTTGAAAAGGAACATGAGATGCTCTCCTATCCATGTTCCTTAGTTACTCCTGTCTAATTTACTTTGTCTCTGCTTTAAGGCTGGGAACTCCAGTTTTTATTTTCACATTATCTTTCTAACACTTAGATCTATTTTTTCTTTACCATAAATTATATTTTCACTACTTTAAGCAGTGCACTGCTGAGATTTTGGACTTTATGCTTCACATATTTTTGGAACTGGGCATCAGGAACAATAAATAGAGGAATAGGGTGAGAGGTGTTGAGTTCCTTGAACAGGGGAAGGCGGCAGAAGGGTATCTGAGGTGTAGTAGGCTGGTGGACACAGAAAAAAATCTGGAGAATGTAAATATCACTGGACCTTTGCAGGTCCCTTTCCACTGCGGACAAAGCCTACTTCAAAACAAGAACGCTAACATCTCTTTTTCTTGACATTGCTTGCCAGCTGAGAATTCAGAAATCATATATTTAAAATGATCATGGAAAAGATGGTGGAAGAAGAAAGTTACATGTGTGTTACTTGCTTCATGTGTTTGTAATAATAATGGAAGAGGCAATTAGAATGAGTGCAATTTTAGTACACTGCTGGACAGCATCAAGCAGGCACTTCCTAAGCACTCCATCTTGTGCTTGCTTCCATTGGAACTGTTTAGTCAGCATCCGTCCTAGAAAATCCCATATATATCCCATACTTGAACTTGTAGCTGATGCTGACCAAACCCATGCATTCACCTGGGAATTCACTAACCTAAAGTAGGCTACTTCTATGCAAACAAAATGCAAGGATTAGTATTTTTAATGTGAGAGCATGAAAAGAAAGATGATTTTGCTGAAAACTACTAGGCTAAAATGGAAAGCTCTATGAACTTCGTATTTGTATTAAAGATGTTACATCATCAATATTATATACCTATTAAGTATATCATAATTGAAAGCAGCTCAATGTTACATAAATATTATTGAATATGTCAGATTAATTTTTAGAAGCATTTAATTAACATTAAATTTATGCATATCAAGATTATGATCAATAAAACTGATATTTATGTTTTATTTAATAATTACTAAAGTATATTTTCACAAACGTCACACTTAAGGGCTGATTCTGATAATTACATGTTAAAACTAATTTCAATATAACAATTTTTCTTCAGATCACATAGTGTATTAGAATAACTATTTTCTGCATTGTACATTCTTTTAGTTCACATCACAATAGAAAAGAGAGGACATTATTGTTCTTCTACTCATAATTAATGATTGGTAATACTTTTAAAAACTTTAATTTTGTGAGTAGGAAGCCAAAATACTAAAATTGTTTTTTTTTAAAGGTAATATCTAAAATTTTAACTGATTCTTGGTTTTCCAGTGTTTAAACTAGTGAACATTTTAATTCTAATATGTGGTGTATATTCTTCAAAGGAGATGATAGATTAAGTATTTCACTGAAAACCAAATAGACCATTATTTTCAGCTGTCTGAAATGCTCCCTGTCTCTGTTCACAAAGCAAGCCATATAATCAGCTTTGGAACTTAATAATATCGTTCAAGTGAATAGGAATATAGGAAACAAGACGAAAGGAAGCTAATGCAATATAATAGTACACTTCACTTTTGCAATTGGACAGGTAACTATTATTTCTCAGAATGCTATAGTCCAGGAGTTAGAAATTAAAATTTAATTTTAGACATATTAACTAAAACAAATTGGATGGTTATATTATCAAGTATTGCAAAAAATACATTTGTAGGATGTTTGTAGTACATTATCTTGGGACTAGGAATATCTTCCTGTTTATTAGAAAAGGACACATTCATATGCCTCTTTTGTATAAAGAAGTTACAATAACTTTTCTCCATTAGTTGAATTTATGATAGCTTAGAATGATATTAATAATTTGAAAATATTTTATACTGTTACTATATTTACTATTTTAAACATCCCACTATCTGTTTTTGAAATATTCATAAAATAGCACATAAAAGCCAATAAATATTACAGAGATATTTATATGACTTATAGGAAATAATTTGTTCTGTTATAATGTAATGTTGATTAACCTGTACTATCAATTCCAAAATAATGTACAGATTTTTATGGCTAAAAATTTTAATGACTTAAAATTCTATGCACACACACATTTTAATTGAGGTAAATTTACATACAGTGAAATGAAATGAATAAATCTCAAGTGTATTATTTAATTAGTTTTAAGAAATTCATAGACCTGGGAAATGTATGCAGCTATCAAGAAATAGAAAACTTTCATCATCCGAGAAGCTTCCCTCTGGCCATCCCAGTCAAAATTCTTCTCAGAAGAAACTAATACTCCCCTTCCTTTCGACATGGATTAGTTTTACTTGTTCTATGAATTCTTATAAATACAATACAGTTTCTACTTTTCTTTGTTTCTCTTCTTTCTTTAAGCATAATGCTTTCCAGATTTATCTAAGCATTTCAAAGAGTTACCTGTAACCTCAGTAAAATATTCATTGTCAAATTTAAAATTAAACCTTAAAAAAAGTAATAGACATAGTAAAATTTTAAATTGGAAAACAGAAACTAAAGGCTTTCAATAATCAGTAAACCAAACATTCCTGTGTATTAAAACATAGTTTTAAATAAAAGAGGAAAAAATATACATTAAGGAGGGGAAAAAAGCATAATAGTTAAAGTACACGAGTATAAAAGAGCATTGTAGACTTAAAGATATATATCAGTCATAAAAATAAATGTGAATAGCTAAACTTAATAAAAGAAAAAGTATTTTATCATGGCTCACAAAGCTCGACAAAGTCATATGTTGTATACCAGATATACATCCAAAATAGTGTGATTTAGAAGGAATGGACAAGAGCATACCAAACAAAATAATTTTTTAAAACAGTTGTAACAGTCTTGACATCAGATAAGTGGAAATCAAGCCACAAACATTAAACATGACAAGAAAAGTCACTTTTTAAAGCAAAAAGAAAAAATTTACAACAAAAACATTATATTTACAGTTGCTATTCACCAAAAATAACCCTCAGAAACAAAACCCAATAGATCGTCTAGCACTACAAATGTTATGAACAAAAACTATGGGCACTACAAGGACACAGAGAAAAATGCAATAATTATTGGAAATGTAATACACAATTCTATGTAAAAGACTTAGTAAGTGGACACAAAATGTATTTGCCAGACAATTAAGGCACAAATAGCACAGTAAATAATATAGATTTTATGGCGATTACTAATGTGTGTGCACATATGAATGTGTCTATGGTCTGATAAGAGAACACACTTTGTTAAGTGTACATGAGATATTCACACAAATTAGTCATAGATTAGGTAACAATGAAAACATTAAATTCCATGAATTGGAACTATGAAAAATATACTGTATAATCATGTCATAGAACTGGAAATAATGAATAATAGAAATAGAAAAGTGGCATGTTTACCTAGAGACTAAAACTCACTTCATAAAACAACTTTTGAGTCAAAGGGAGATACAAATTGAAAAAGCAAACTAAAACAAGCCTTTGGGAATTTGATAATATCCAACAGCCTGTATATTGACTTACTCTTGATTCAGCTATTCCACTTCTAGGAAGATACACCTTCAATAGCATGAAAATCCAAATGCAACACAGTATATACTGAAGCATCATATGCAGCTGTAAAATACTGGAAATAATCTAAATGTCCTAGAGGAAAGTGGTTGAATTAACTATGATACCAGGTGTCAGGCCTCTGAGCCCAAGCTAAGCCATCATATCCCCTGTGACCTGCAAGTACACATCCAGATGGCTGGTTCCTGCCTTAACTGATGACATTCCACCACAAAAGAAATGAAAATGGCCTGTTCCTGCCTTAACTGATGGCATTATCTTGCGAAATTCCTTCTCCTGGCTCATCCTGGCTCAAAAGCTCCCCTACTGAGCACCTCGTGACCCCCACTACTGCCTGCCAGAGAACAACCCCCCTTTTTCCTTAACCTACCCAAATCCTATATAACGGCCCCACTCCTATCTCCCTTCGCTGACTCTGTTTTCGGACTCAGCCCGCCTGCACCCAGGTGAAATAAACAGCCTTTTTGCTCACACAAAGCCTGTTTGGTGATCTCGTCACATGGACGCGCATGAAATTTTGTGCCGTGACTCGGATCAGGGGACCTCCCTTGGGAGATCAATCCCCTGTCCTCCTGCTCTTTGCTCCATGAGAAAGATCCACTTACAACCTCAGGTCCTCAGACCAACCAGCCCAAGAAACATCTCACCAATTTCAAATCTGGTAAGCAGCCTCTTTTTACTCTCTTCTCCAACCTCCCTCACTATCCCACAACCTCTTTCTCCTTTCAATCTTGGTGCCACACTTCAATCTCTCCTTTCTCTTAATTTCAATTCCTTTCAATTTCTGGTAGAGACAAAGGAGACACGTTTCATCCGTGGACCCAAAACTCCAGTGCTGGTCAAGGACTAGGGAAGGCAGCCTTCCCTTGGTGTTTAATCACTGCAGGGATGCCTCTCTGATTATTCACCCAGGTTTCAGAAGTGTCAGACCATGCAGGGACTCCTGCCTTGGTTCTTCAACCTTAGCAGCAAGTCCCACTTTTCTGGGGGAAGGGCAAGAACCCCAACTCCTTCTCTCCATGTCTCTATCCCTTCTCTGCTTTTCTGGGGGAGAGACAAGAACCCCTCAACCCCTTCTCCTTCACCCTTAGCGGCAAGTCCCGCTTTTCTAGGGGAGGGGCAGGAATCCCGACCTCTTATCTCTGCACCCCGATCCCTTATTTATGTGCCCCGACCTCTTATCTCTGTGCCCCAACCTGTTATTTCCATGCCCCGACCTCTTCTCTGCTTTTCTGAAAGGCAAGAACCCCCCACCCCTTCTCCCTGTCTCTACTCTCTTTTCTCTGGGCTTGCCTTCTTCACTATGGGCAAGCTTCCACCTTCCATTCCCCCTTCTTCTCCCTTAGCCTGTGTTCTAAGAACTTAAAACCTCTTCAACTCTCACCTGACCTAAAATCTAGGCATCTTATTTTCTTCTGCAATGCTGCTTGACCCCAATACAAACTCAACAGTAGTTCCAAATAGCCGGAAAACAGCACTTTCAATTTTTCCATCCTACAAGATCTAAATAATTCTTCTCGTAAAACAGGCAAATGGTCTGAGGTGCCTGACGTCCAGGCATTCTTTTACACATGGGTGCCTCCCTAGTTTCAGTTCCCAATGCAACTTGTCCCAAATCTTCCTTCTTTCCCTCCCACCTGTCCCCTCAGTCCCAACCCCAAGCATCACTGAGTCTTTCTAATCTTCTTTTTCTACAGACCCATCTGACCTCTCCCCTCCTCGCCAGGCTGAGCTAGGTCCCAATTCTTCCTCAGCCTCCGCTCCTCCACCCTATAATCCTTTTATCACCTCCCCTCCTCACACCTGGTCTGGCTTACAGTTTCGTTCAGTGACTAGGCCTCCCCCACCTGCCCAGCAATTTACTCTTAAAAAGTAGCTGGAGCTAAAGGCATAGTCAAGGTTAGTGATCCTTTTTCTTTATCCCAAATCAGATAGCATTTAGTCTCTTTTTCATCAAATATAAAAATCCAGCCCAGTTCATGGCTCATTTGGCAGCAACCCTGAGACACTTTACAGCCCTAGACCCTAAAAGGTCAGAAGGCCGTCTTATTCTCAAAATACATTTTATTACCCAATCTGCTCCCAACATTAAATAAAACTCCAAAAATTAAATTCCGGCCCTCAAACCCCACAACAGGACTTAATTAACCTTACCTTCAAGGTGTACAATAATAGAGTAGAGGCAGCCAAGTAGCAACATATTTCTGAGTTGCAATTCCTTGCCTCCACTGTGAGAGAAACCACAGCCACATCTCCAGCACACAAGAACTTCCAAACGCTTAAACCACAGTGGCCAGGTGTTCCTCCAGAACCGCCTCCCCCAGAAACTTGCTACAAGTGCCAGAAATCTGGCCACCAGGCCAAGGAATGCCCACAGCCCGGGATTCCTCCTAAGCCGTGTCCCATCTGTGCAGGACCCCACTGGAAATCAGACTGTTCAACTCACCTGGCAGCCACTCCCAGAGCCCCTGGAACTCTGGCCCAAGGCTCTCAGACTGACTCCTTCCCAATCTTCTCGGCTTAGCGGCTGAAGACTGACACTGCCTGATTGCCTCAGAAGCCCTGTAGACCATCACGGACGCCGAGCTTTAGGTAACTCTCACAGTGGAGAGTAAGTCCGTCCCCTTCTTAATCAATACAGAGGCTACCCACTCCACATTACCTTCTTTTCAAAAGCCTGTTTCCCTTGCTTCCATAACTGTTGCAGGTATTGACAGCCAGGCTTCTAAACCTCTTAAAACTCCCCGACTCTGGTGCCAACTTAGACAATACTCTTTTAAGCACTCCTTTGTAGTTGTCCCCACCTGCCCAGTTCCTTTATTAGGCCGAGACACACTTTAACTAAATTATCTGCTTCCCTGACTATTCCTGGATTACAGCTGCATCTCATTGCCACCCTTCTTCCCAATCCAAAGCCTCCTTTGCTTCCTCCTCTTGTATCCCCCTACCTTAACCCACAAGTATAAGATACCTCTACTCCCTCCTTGGCGACCGATCATGCACCCCTTACCATCTCATTAAAACCTAATCACCCTTACCCCGCTCAATGCCAATATCCCATCCCACAGCATGCTTTGAAAAGATTAAAGCCTGTTATCACTCACCTGCTACAGCATGGCCTTTTAAAGCCTATAAACTCTCCTTACAATTCCCGCATTTTACCTGTCCTAAAACCAGACAAGCCTTACAGGTTAGTTCAGGATCTATGCCTTATCAACCAAATTGTTTTGCCTATCCACCCCATGGTGCCAAACCCATATACTCTCCTATCCTCAATACCTCCCTCCACAATCCATTATTCTGTTCTGGATCTCAAACATGCTTTCTTTACTATTCCTTTGCACCCTTCATCACAGCGTCTCTTCGCTTTCACTTGGACTGACCCTGACACCCATCAGGCTCAGCAAATTACCTGGGCTGTACTGCCGCAAGGCTTCACAGACAGCCCCCGTTACTTCAGTCAAGCCCAAATTTCTTCCTTATCTGTTACCTATCTCAGCATAATTCTCATAAAAACACACGTGCTCTCCCTGCCGATCATGTCCGACTAATCTCTCAAACCCCAACCCCTTCTACAAAACAACAACTCCTTTCCTTCCTAGGCATGGTTGGATACTTTCACCTTTAGATACCTGGTTTTGCCACCCTAACGAAACCATTATATAAACTCACAGAAGGAAACCTAGCTGACCCCATAGATCCTAAATCCTTTCCCCACTCCTCTTTCCATTCCTTGAAGACAGCTTTGAAGATTGCCCCCACTCTAGCTCTCCCTGACTCATCCCAACCCTTTTCATTACACACAGCTGAAGTGCAGGGCTGTGCGGTCGGAATTCTTTCACAAGGACCGGGATCGCGTCCTGTAGCCTTTTTATCCAAACAACTTGACCTTACTACTTGGCCTATCCCTTAAGTCTGCATGTGGTGGCTGCCACTGCCCTAATACTTTTAGAGGCCCTTAAAATCACAAACTATGCTCAACTCACTCTCTACAGTTCTTATAACTTCCAAAATCTATTTTCTTCCTCACACCTGACACATATACTTTCTGCTTCCTGGCTCCTTCAGCTGTACTCACTCTTTGTTAAGTCTCCCACAATTACCATTGTTCCTGGCCCAGACTTCAATCCAGCCTCCCATATTATTCCTGATACCACACCTGACCCTCATGACTATCTCTCTCTGATCCACCTGATGTTCACCCCATTTCCCTACATTCCTTCTTCCCTGTTTTTCACCCTGATCACACTTGGTTTATTGATGGCAGTTCCACCAGGCCTAATCGCCACACACCAGCAAAGGCAGGCTATGCTATAGTACAAGCCACTAGCCCGCCTTTTAGAACCTCTCATTTCCTTTCCATTGTGGAAATCTATCCTCAAGGAAATAACTTCTTAGTGTTCCATCTGCTATTCTACTACTCCTCAAGGATTATTCAGGCCCCCTCCCTTCCCTACACATCAAGCTCAGGGATTTGCCCCCACCCAGGACTGGCAAATTAGCTTTACTCAACATGGCCCGAGTCAAAAAACTAAAATACCTCTTAGTCTAAGTAGACACTTTCACTAGATAAGTAGAAGCCTTTCCTGCAGGGTCTGAGAAGGCCACCGCAGTCATTTCTTCCCTTCTGTCAGACACAATTACTCAGTTTAGCCTTCCTACCTCTATGCAGTCCGATAGCAGACCAGCCTTTATTAGTCAAATTAGGCAAGCAGCTTTTCAGGCTCTTAGTATTCAGTGAAACCTTTATATCCCTTACAGTCCTCAGTCTTCAGGAAAGGTAAAACAGACTAATAATCTTTTAAAAACACACCTCACCAGGCTCAGCCACCAACTTAAAAAGGACTGGACAATACTTTTACCTCTTTCTTTTCTCAGAATACAGGCCTGTCCTTAGAATGCTACAAGGTACAGCTCATTTAAGCTCCTGTATGGATGTTCCTTTTTATTAAGCCCCAGTCTCATTCCAGACACCAGACCAACTTAGACTGTGCCCCAAAAACTTGTCATCCCTACTATCTTCTGTCTAGTCATACTCCTATTCACCATTCTCAACTACTCATACATGCTCTGCTCTTGTTTACACTGCCAGTTTACTCTGTTTCTCCAAGCCATCACAGCTGATACCTCCTGGTGCTATCCCCAAACTGCCACTCTTAACTCTTAAAGTAAATAAATAATCTTTGCTCCAGGGCTATGCTGAACCTCCTTAGGCACTCTCTAATTAGATGTCCTAGGTCCTCCCAATTCTTAGACCTTTAATACCTGTTTTTCTCCTTCGCTTATTCCGTTTAGTTTTTCAATTCATACAAAACCGTATCCAGGCCGTCACCAATAATTCTAAATGACAAATATTTCTTCTAACAGTCCCACAATATCACCCCTTACCACAAAATCTTCCTTCAGCTTAATCTCTCCCACTCTAGGTTCCCACGCCGCTCCTAATCCCGCTCAAAGCAGCCCTGAGAAACATCGCCCATTATCTTTTCATACCATCCCCCAAAATTTTTACGGTCCCAACACTTTACCACTATTTCATTTTATTTTTCTTATTAATATAAGAAGACAGGAATGTCAGGCCTCTGAGCCCAAGCTAAGCCATCACATCCCCTGTGACCTTCACGTACACATCCAGATGGCTGGTTCCTGCCTTAACTGATGACATTCCACCACAAAAGAAGTGAAAATGGCCTGTTCCTGCCTTAACTGATAGCATTATCTTGTGAAATTCCTTCTCCTGGCTCATCCTGGCTCAAAAGCTCCCCTACTGAGCACCTTGTGACCCCCACTCCTGCCTGCCAGAGAACAATCCCCCTTTTTCCCTTACCTACCCAAATCCTATAAAACAGCCCCACCCCATCTCCCTTCCCTGACTCTTTTCAGACTCAGCCCGCCTGCACCCAGGTGAAATAAACAGCCTTGTTGCTCACACAAAGCCTGTTTGGTAGTCTCTTCACAGGGACGCGCATGAAACCAGGACATCCACACCATGGAATATTTAATACTGTGCAGGGGTAGAAAAAGAGATTGATGTAGAGTTTCAGGATATATCATTAAGTGACAAAAAAAAAAAGTGTGAAAATGTATCTGTAGCTTTCTGTCTTTCATGTAAGACTAAAGAGGGATTAAGAAAATACATATGTATCTGTATTTTTTGAAACAGGAAATACAAGAAGAACACATTATGAACTAATTAATGTGGTTTCATGTAGGGATGGTGGTAATGGGGCAGAAAATGAATATATAAAAATGTCTTAGAATGAATAAGAAGTATGGGAAGTTAACACTTCTTTGAATATAGCTATTTGTATATGTTGGTCTTTTAGAATACAGCTGATGTTTCACATTCTAAAAACCTAAATTTTTTTAGAATAAGAAATATAGAAGGAGATCGAAACCATCCTGGCTAACAAGGTGAAACCCCGTCTCTACTAAAAATACAAAAAAAATTAGCCGGGCGCGGTGGCGGGCGCCTGTAGTCCCAGCTACTCGGGAGGCTGAGGCAGGAGAATGGCGTGAACCCGGGAAGCGGAGCTTGCAGTGAGCCGAGATTGCGCCACTGCAGTCCGCAAGTCCCGCCTGGGCGACAGAGCGAGACTCCGTCTCAAAAAAAAAAAAAAAAAAGAAATATAGAAAAAAGATCCTGGGGGACAAGTGGAATAGAAAAGGTGTAAGGAATTCAAATCTGTTACAAATGTGTAACATAATCACACTGTAAAGGGTGAAAAGAAAATAATTAGCTTATGTAAGTTTATAACATAGTTATTTGTATGTTATAAAGTTACATTATGTATTCATGTATTTAAATACATTATGTCTTATGTATTTAAGGCCAAGTACATAAGACCCATTCTTAAATATTGTTCTTTAATATTGTAGAGAATATATTGTAGAGAATGAAAGCCAAACTCGTCATTGTCTGAGAAGAGACAGGTGGGGTTAGAATAAACCCTGAGGTGTTAGATTGATATTGGAGATATCAGTATGAACTCAGGTTATATATATTTTGATAGATATGTGATTATATACGTATAAGCTCATTTGTACATTTCCTATCTATTTCTGCTGAAAGGGCCCAGAAGCAATGAAACCTTAGCATCAGTGAGCACTTGGACAGTAAAATATTAGTTTCTAAATAAACATTTTCTAATAGAAACAAGTACAGATATCTTTGGAGAAATGGCTCATTTATTTCTTGGCCAAAAATAATGGAAACAGTATATGTTTGTGGTCTCAAATTATTTCCCTGTATGATACTGATAATCATAAATGAAAGAATAGTAACATTACAGTGGAGAAAATCTAGCAGACATGACATTAACCAAGTGATCAAAGTTATCATCATTAATGAAACATATTAGCATTATGTGCCTCCTGGTGTACTGAGAAGAGAACAACATCTCTGTTGTATACTTGCAAAAAAAAAAAAAGGCATTTCTTAAACTTCTTCCTAAGAATTGACCAGACAAATTCAAATTGAGGGACAACATCCAAAATTAATGGCCACTGTAAGTTTTGATAGGTAAAGGCTAAATAAATATCCTAGAAAAACAAAGTTACCAAGATGACAAGTAAAAACAATGTACAATGATGGTCATTGATGAAATAATTAACAATATTTGAACGGTTAGTAGTAATGCATTGATATTGATTTTCTGTTTATGATAATTACGTGGTGGTTATATAAAATGTTCACTTTTAGGAAAGTCATGTCAAAAATATAGACAAATTATTTGTCGTGTTTTTGCAAACTTTGTGTAAGACTAAAATTATTTCCAAGTGAAAGTTAAAATTTTTAAAAAATAAAAAGTAATGTCTGGTTTCAGTGATGGGACGTTTGGCTTTCATTTCCATGAACATGGAGACTGTCACCACTTAATGTATGAAACTGTTCTCAAGTCCTTAGTTTTCATAATTATTGGAATGATACTTAAAATGGCCCCTGTTGGTATATTCATGCTTGGCTATTTAAGTACTTAAGTGTTTGTTCAGGAGATACTAATTGAAAGATTGATATATTTCTATTCCACATCTCTGCTTGAATGGCATATGGATGCTTCAAATTTAAGATATCTCCAAGCTGGCTCATGATTCACCTCCAAAATCATGCCTGCTCCTCTCCAAGCATTAAACATCACCGTAAATGGAAACTATATTCTGCCAAATGATAAGATCTAAAAAAAATCTCAAAATCATGTGATTGTTTCTTTCCCCTCACAATCCATATCTGCTAAACCTAGGGATTTTATTTCCAAAACACATCTGGAATGCAAAGATTCAACTTTCACCATTATCACTTTACTGTAACTGAACCCCATTTCTTGTCTAGTCTATTTTCACAATTTGTAAAGTTTCTTGCTTTACGCTCCCCAGTTGCCTCTCCTCTATCCTACTCACCCTTACCTCTGCCCACACTCCCACCACCCCTGACACATTTTACCCTTTATTTGGCAGAAAGAGTGATTCTTTGAAAATGTGGTCTCACCATTTCACGAATCTGCTTATAGCCCTCCCATGGCATTTCATCTTAGAATAAAATGTAAACAACATAGTGTATTGTATCCTGCAGAGTTCTGTATGTTCTTGACCCAATTTACATCTAGTAATTTCCCAAGCATTTTTATTTGGTTATGCACACTCCATCAGCCCACTTGCTCTTGCTTGGAAATCTATTAGTCTTTTTCTTACTGCTTCCTCCGTTTTTTGTCTTTTAAAAATGTGATTGTTTTAGATTTCTGCTCAGGTATCTCAAACAATCATCCCTGATTAGCCAGCTTATCTTTTTCATGTGACTCCATCCATTCATGTGTATTATTTTCTTTATGTCATGTATCACCTCGCATTGGCTGTCTCCCCTCACTGGAATGGGAACTGCTATGGTTAGATATGGTTTGTCCACACCCAATGTCATGTTGAAGTTTAATTGCCAATGCAGCACTATTAGGAGGTGGGCCAAAGAGGAAGTGTTTAGGTCACGGGGGCAAATCCCTCCTGAATGACCTGGTGTCTATCTCTATGCTAGTGAGTAAGTTCTCAGTCTCACATGACTAGATGAGTTCTTCCAAGAACGGATTAGCTCCCATAACAGCAGGTTATTATAAAGAGCGTTTCCTCATTATGATTGGTCTGCCTTCCCACATGGAATATTCTCCATTATGTTTTGATCCAACACAAATGCCTTCACCAGAAGCTGAGTAGATGCCAACGCCCTGCCCTTTAAACCTCCTGGCCTACAGAACCATAAGCTAACTAAACCTCTTTTCTTTGTAAATTACTCAGTCTCATTCTGATATAGCAACACAAATTTTACCAAGACAAGGACGCAGTGGGGGCAGGACATTTGCTCTGCTCGCTGCTATAGCTCCAGGGCACAGAAGATATCCTAACATGGAGTAAGCAACAAGTAAATATTTATTGAATAAATATTCAACTGGGGGGTCGCTGGCAAGATAGCCAAATAGGAACAGCTCCGATCTGAAGCTCCCAGCAAGATTGACTCAGAAGGCGAGTGATTTCTGCATTTCCAACTGAGGTACCCAGTTCATCTCATTAGGACTAGTTGGGCAGTGGGTGCAGCCCAATGAGGGCGAGCCGAAGTAGGGTGGGGCATCATCTCACCCAGAAAGCACAAGGGGTTGGGAAACTCCCTCCCCCAGCCAAGCGAGGCAATTAGGGACTGTACCGTGCACTCAGACACTGTGCACTCAGATACTGTGCTTTCCCCACAGTCTTTGCAACCCGCAGACCAGGAGATTCCTCCAGGTGCCTATACCACCAGGGCCCTGGGTTTCCAGCACAAAACTGGGTGGCTGTTTGAGCAGACACAGAGCTAGCCACAGGAGTTTTTCTTTTTTTTTTCATACCCCAGTGGCACCTGGAATATATGGAACTAAAAAAGACCCTGCACAGCCAAGACAATCCTAAGGAGAAAGAACAAAGCTGGAGGCATCATGCTACCTGACTTCAAACTATACTACAAGGCTACAGTAACAAAAACAGAATGGTACCAGTACCAAAACAGAGATATGGACCAATAGAACAGAACAGAGGCCTCAGAAATAATGCTGCACATCTACAACCATCTGATCTTTGACAAACTTGACAAAAACAAGAAATGGGGGAAGAATTCCCTATTTAATAAATGGTGTTGGGAAAACTGGCTAGCCATATGCAGAAAGCCAAAACTGGATACCTTCCTTACACCTTATACAAAAATTAACTCAAGATGGATTAAAGACTTAAATGTAAGACCTAAAACCATAAAAACCCTAGAAGAAAACCTAGGCAATACCATTCAGGACATAGGCATGGGCAAAGACTTCATGACTAAAACACCAAAAGCAATGGCAACAAAAGCCAAAATAGACTAATGAGATTTGATTAAACTAAAGAGCTTCTGCACAACAAAAGAAACTATCATCAGAGTGAACAGGCAACCTAAAGAATGAGAGAAAATTTTTGCAGTCTATCCATTGGAAAAAGGGCTAATGTCCAGAATCTACAAAGAACATAAACGGATTTACAAGAGAAAAACAAACAACTCCATCAAAAACTGGGCAAAGACACTTCTCAAAAGAAGACATTAATTCAGCCAAAAAAACACATGAAAAAAAGCTTATCATCACTGGTCATTAGATAAATGCAAATCAAAACCACAATGAGATACCATCTCATGCTAATTAGAATGGTGATCAATAAAAAGTCAGGAAACAACAGATGCTGCAGAGGATGTGGAGAAATAGGAACACTTTTACTTTGTTGGTGGGACTGTAAATTAGTTCAACCATTGTGGAAGACAGTGTGGCGATTCCTCAAGGATCTAGAACTAGAAATACCATTTGACCCAGCAATCCCATTACTGGGTATATACCCAAGGATTATAAATCATTCTACTATAAAGACACATGCACACATATGTTTATTGCGGCACTGTTAAAACAGCAAAGACTTGGAACCAACCCAAATGTCCATCAATGATAGACTGGATAAAGAAAATGTGGCACATATACACCATGGAATACTATGCAGCCATAAAAAATAATGAGTTCATGTCCTTTGCAGGGACATGGATAATGCTGGAAACCATCACTCTCAGCAAACTAACACAAGAACAGAAAACCAGACACCATATGTTCTCACTCATAAGTGGGAGTTGAACAATGAGAACACATGGACACAGGGAGGGAAATATCACACACCAGGGCCTGTTGGAGGGTAGGGGAGTAGGGGAGGGATAGTATTAGGAGAAACACCTAATGTAGATGACGGGTTGATGGGCGCAGCAAACCACCATGGCATGTGTATACCTATGTAACAAACATGCACGTTCTGCACATGTACCCCCAGAACTTAAAAGTATAATAAAAATAATGAAAGAAAGAAAAGAAAGAAAAAGAAAGAAAGAAAGAGAGAAAGAGAATGAGAGGGAGGGAAGGAGGAAGGGAGGGAGGAAGGAAAGAAGGAAGGAAGCAAGGCAGGAAGGAAGGAAGGAAGCAAGGGATGGATCAGAGATAGGAATCCACTCTTTAAAAAGAATGATTCACAATTTCTTGGCAAATCTGACTTCAAGCATAAGAAATTAGAAATATTGTTTTCTTGTATCATTTCAAACTTTAATGTTCTTACTTATATTTTGTATACATAAATGATTAATAAGTCTTTCAGATACAGATGTTTTGAGTGTTAAACAATTTATTAAACAAACAAAAAGTTCTCTTAAAAAAATACATGATGAAGTTAACATAGTTCCCCAAAAAGATGCAAATGAAAATAGGTTTCTAAATTTATTTTTAATGTAAGCTTGACAGCACAGAGGAAATTTATTTTTCATACTGCTAAAACTCTCAGCTAAATGGAGAAGGATCACCACATAATACACATGCTGATACATTGTTTTGTTAATCTTAACAACACATCTACTTTTGACAACCTAAGTACAAGCAAGACTTTCTAATTGCCTGCATAATTAAGGAAAAGTGTAAGACTTTCTCACTCAATATTAAAGTTATTTTTAATTCAGATTGGTTCACTACAGTATTAAAATCAACAATATATTTTACTTTTAAAAAATTATGCTATTGGTATATGCTATACATCATCCAAATTACCTGATAGAATCAATTTTAGACTTTTATTATATTTAAAATATCCCCTCTGTTTTTTTTTTTTTTTTTCTTTTTTTTTGAGACAGAGTCTCGCTCTGTCGCCCAGGCCGGACTGCGGACTGCAGTGGCGCAATCTCGGCTCACTGCAAGCTCCGCTTCCCGGGTTCACGCCATTCTCCTGCCTCAGCCTCCCGAGTAGCTGGGACCACAGGCGCCCGCCACCGCGCCCGGCTAATTTTTTGTATTTTTAGTAGAGACGGGGTTTCACCTTGTTAGCCAGGATGGTCTCGATCTCCTGACCTCATGATCCACCCGCCTCGGCCTCCCAAAGTGCTGGGATTACAGGCGTGAGCCACCACGCCCGGCCATCCCCTCTGTTTTAAGGGCAACAGAGAAAACAAATCTTGTTTTCTTTTTACATATACTTTCAAAATCATTATAAGGTAATAAATACAATAATATAATTTAGTAGGTGTAATGTGTGCTTGCCCAAATTTTTTACTTATGTGGGATGCCTTGCATTATGTATTTTGGATCTCTAAAAGTAATATGTATATAATTTTATCAGCACTAGTAATTTATTATCTTATTATAAATAGCCATTAATTTAACATTCCCTTGATTTCATGGAAACAGAAAATTCAGGATCCATTTTCATAAGTAAGCATAAAAAGGATTTTTGAAATAAAAGAAATTTATGAGTAGCAACCTATTTAAGAAAAATGCTTATAATAACAGTGACTAACAAAATATTTAGCAAAGAGGATAGAATGCTGTCATAGCAAAAACATAGCAACAAAAGGCAGGTACTCTTTGGGTTAGTGGCAGTAAGTTACTTAATTTATAAATTTCTTAGATGACATAGGTAAGTTCAAAAGAGGTTAATATTCTTAGCCTTCTGTGTAGCTAGTTTATTTTTCTTATAAAATTAGATGCTTTGTCATACTCCTCTAATAATGAATGCACATATATTTTTAGATTGATATAACCAGATTCAAAGAACAGAAGTGATTATGTCAGATTTATATTGTTCTTTGCAATATGGTGTTGACATGTTAATGATTCCTATCAGGTGCTAGATGTATTTTTTCTCTAATACTTCTATTCTTCACATATTCTCAAGTGGGTGTTACTAGAATAAACTTGCACTGGCGCCCTAGATCCTCTGATTATGTTGTCATCACTTCCACTTCAAATTCACACTTTCTCTCTTCACCCTGCTTACATTTCATGAAACTCCTTTAAGTTCCAAATAGTCTGTAATATTGTAGTTGGGTGGTTGAAGTGTGTTGGAGTGCATTAACAATCTCTAAATAAAAACTCTATATTGTGTCTTAATTCTAAAAATGGTTTTTTTAGTCCATCTTATCAGATTACAATTTCCTACAATTTCTCCTGAGTTGCTTCTTTTTTGTGTGTATGTCATCTCCCTCACTCAGTTATAACTGCTCAGTGATACAGATATATTTCTACATTGTGTAATCCAAAATAATTCAGCACCCTGTTTTTTCATTGATGTGAATCTGTCTTCTGACTAGAGGACATCAATGCATATATTTTCTGCATCTTTCTCCCAACATGCTATAAAAAGTCTGGCTATTAAATAAAACAAGTTAAGGAAAAAAGCTTGCCATCAGAGTCTTATAAAACAATATCCAATTCAGGGAACAAGAGGAAGGAGAAAATATAAGGTAGCACAATAAAAATACACAAAAATAGAAAAAATAACAATAAGAAATTAACTCACAGTAGAGAAGATATTATCACGTCAAGGAAGTTTATCTAGTGTGTGTGTACCAAAAATAGTAGATCTAGCCCATTTTTTCTATCTTTTTTTTTTTTTTTTTTGAGACGGAGTCTCCCTCTGTCGCCTAGGCTGGAGTGCAGTGGCGCGATCTCCGCTCACTGCAAGCTCCGCCTCCCAGGTTCACGCCATTCTCCTGCCTCAGCCTCCCTATTAGCTGGGACCACAGGTGCCCGCCACCACGCCCGGCTAATTTTTTGTATTTTTAGTAGAGATGGGGTTTCACCCTGTTAGCCAGGTTGGTCTCGATCTCCTTACTTGGTTATCCGCCCACCTCGGCCTCCCAAAGTGCTGGGATTACAGGCATGAGCTACCGCGCCTGGCCATTTTTCCTGTCTTAACGGACCTTAACGGACCACTAAGGAATAAAGAAATGGGGGCTTGCCGGTAAGAGTTGGGCGTGAAAGCTGATGCACAATGACAACAATGGTCAGCAAAAATAAGAACATAAATTCTCTTCTCACATATTCTCGGAAACTTGGACTGATGGGTAAAAATAAAATAAAAAAATTTGAACGATGTGCGTGACATAGGTAAGCTTTACCTTAATGGAAGCACGCAAAACAAAATATTTTCCTATCATTGTTATATAAGCTTTCTAACTCAAAATATTTTGAGCTTGTGATTCTGTTGGACAATGAGTTAGTATAACCATGAACACACACTTAATTTGATATTTGGAACAGCCAAATACAGGTAGCTTTCCCAATTTCAACAATTCATTAGAAAGCTTAAGAGGAAAATGTAAATGTATTAAGGCCCAAATAAAGTAAATAAACTAACTGAATGTTTCTTGACTTGTTAGTGGTTTGAAGGATATGTTAAAGCCAATTGTCTTTTCCTATAGTTGTTACACAGTGCAAGTCAGATCAAAAATTCATGAAATTTGCTGATGGACTATCAAAGAATCACTAAAAAATAATTGTTTCCCTAGGTTATTGGGGTACAGGTAGTACTTGGTTACATGAGTAAATTCTTCAGTGGTGATTTGTGAGATTTTAGTGCACCCGTCACCTGAGCAGTATACACAGCCCCATATTTGTAGTCTTTTATCCCTTGACCCCCTCCCACTCTTCCGCCCAAGTTCCCAAAGTCAATTGTATCATTCTTATGTCTTTGCGTCCTCATAGCTTAGCTCCCACATATCAGTGGGAACATACGATATTTGGTTTTCCATTCCTGAGTTACTTCACTTAGAATAATGGTCTCCAATCTCATCCAGGTCACTGCAAATGCTATTAATTCATTTGATTTTATGGCTGAGTAGTATTCCGTCATATATGTATATATACCACAGTTTCTTTATCCACTCTTTGATCGATAGGCTTTTAGGTTGGTTCCACGATTTTGCAATTGTGAATTGTGCTGCTATAAACATGCCTGTGCAAGTATCTTTTTCATATGACTTCTTTTCCTCTGGGTAGATACCCAGTAGTGGGATTATTGGATCAAATAGTAGTTGTACTTTTAGTTCTTTAAGGAATCTCTGCATTGTTTTCCATAGTGGCTGTACTGATACAGAAGGGGGACAGGGAGGTGCTGGGAAAGGAAGTGTGGATCCCTGGGAAGGGGTGGGTGGATCCACCCCTGGGCCTGTGTCCACGGACCTAGTTGGTGACAGACACTCCTGCCTTCACACCAAAATGCGGCATTTCCCAAGACCACCCCAGCCCTCCATGCCCCCCCATCCAGTACCTGTAATAACCCCTGAGACCCTAGCAGGCAGGCACACAAGAAGATGGGCATGGAGAGGAGCAGATCAGCCAAAGAAGACACGAATGGCTGGATGTTGAGAGGGTATTGATGGGAGCACGCCGGCAGAAGAGCACACCGACAGACACTGGCAGGTCGGCAGGCCAGCTGGCTGAATGAGGCGGAGTTTGGCTCAGGCAGTCAGAGGAGAGCCCAGGCCTCTGAGTGGCTGGACTCCAGGGAAAACCATCTCCTTTCTGGCTCCCTCATCTGTTGAGTACTACTTCCACTCAGTAAAACCTTGCACTCATTTTCCAAGCCCACCTGTGATCCGATTCTTCTGGTACACCAAGGCAAGAACCCAGGATGCAGAAAGCCTTCTGTTCTCCCAAAAAGGTAGAGCATCTAATTGAGCTGGTTAACACAAGCCACCTACAGATGGCAAGAATAAAAGAGTACCCTTTAGCACACACCAACTGGGGCTTCAGGAGCTGTAAACACCCACCCATAGACACTGCCGTGGGGTCAGAGCCTCACAGCCTGCCTGTCTGTATGTTCTTCTAGAAGTTTGAGTAGCGGGGCACTGAAGAAGTGAAACACTTCCCCTGTTGCACGCCTTGCAAGGGGAACAAAGGAACCTTCCCCATTTCAATACTAGTTTACGTTCCCACCAGCAATGTAGAGGTGTTCCCTGCTCACCGCCTCCACACCAACATCTGCTGTTTCTTGATTTTTTGATTACAGCCATTCTTGCAGGAGTAAGGTGGTATCACATTGTGGTTTTGATTTGCATTTCCCTGATCATTACTGACGTTGAGCATTTTTTCATATGTTTGTTGGCCATTTGTATATCTTCTTTTGAGAATTGTCTATTCATGTCCTTAGCCTACTTTTCAATGGGATTGTTTGATTTTTTTCCTTACTGAATTGTTTGAGTTCATTGTAGATTCTGGATATTAGTCCTTTGTCAGATGTATAGATTGTGAAGATTTTCTCCCACTCTGTGTGTTGTCTGTTTACTCTGCTGACTATTCCTTTTATTTATCTGTCACTCTAGAATCACGACTGTCCTCTCTGTCCCAATGCTTTGAGGTAGGACAGCAGTCACTGTTAATCTGTCTAGTGAAATCACATTCTACTTGAATAAAATATATAATGTAAACAGCTGGCAGAGTCTTGTAAATTAAGAATTTAGATCAAGTTTGATATCTCATGAATAAAATATATAATCATAGAAATAAATTAACAGTACTTAAATCAATAATAATTATTCTCTTCATGTTTTGATAAAGTTTATCAGTAGGTCACAAAGCTACTTTATTACTTTAGGTTAGGGAAAACCAGCCAAATAGCAGCTTATTTTTCCAAATTATATTGGCTTATGGCTTTTCTATAACTAACTATAAGACAATAGGATCGTATGTGAAACATTATTGCCTATATTCCTGAGCATCAATTATTATTGAGAAATGTGATTTTTAAAACCTGATTCTTAAAACCTGATTCATTATATGGTTATACTTCATTAATAATTCTATTGTGTTATATAAGACAGCATTTAAATACCTTGTCATAACTAATCTTGAAATTAAAATAATATACTATACTGTATAATATACTATTTATTTTGTATAAACCTCTAAAAATTCAAATATACTCTGAGCACTAAAATTAATAATTTTAAGGACACAAAGTTGTGAAAAATTGTATATGTTACCAAATTGACCACTGAAAGTTATATCAGTTTATATGCCACCTGGAGGTGGATAAGAATGGTATTGTAGCACGTCCATTCAGTTCAACCCAGGCAGTTTATCTGAATGACTGAGATGGTGTCAGTTTGCCAATCTGTATGCACCCAGACCTATACCTAGTAACTAGTAAAAACTCAGTAAACACTTCTAACTGAATGAATGAAAGAATAACTTACTATTTAGGAAAAAAAGTTGCACATTTGGTCGTCACTGAAAACAATCTTACTTTTTTTTTATTTCCTTACTATTGTGTGCTTAAAAATTTTACCTCCATATTTTTGTCATTTATTTTTAAAATTTTATAATCTACTTCTTTACACTTTTTGGTCTTATGTTTTAAGTAGGATATCCATCTTTTTTTAAATGATTGTTAAAGACACTTTGTATTAAGCATTTAATTATGTTTTATTGCTGCATCAAAACATATCACAAATTTAGGAGATTAAAACAATGCATATTAATATCTTAAAATTCTAGAAGTTAGAGTCTCATAAGACCAAAATCAAGTTGTCAGCCATTCACAACTCTTCTCTAGAGGCTTTTAAGGACAATCCCCTTCAGAGATCATTCAGTTCCTTGCAGTTGTAGGACTGAAGGCCCCAGTTCCTTGCTACCTGTTTAACTGGAGGTTATGCTCAGCTTCTGGAGGCTGCTCAAATTCCTCGTCATCGGTGTCCTCCATTTAAAGCCAACAACAACATGTCAACTCCTTCTTGCTCTTCAAGTCCCATGAGGTATCAAACTGTGACCATCTGTGGAAAACTCATTGTTATTTAAAGAATTGATATTATTGGAATAGGTTTCACTGGATAATCTCTTTTTTGATTAACTCAAACATAAATGATGAAGGACTTTAATTACATCTGCAAAAACCCTGACCAGGGTGTTCTGTCACATTATATCCTCCCTCCCAGGGATTAGGCAGAAAATCTTGGTGGGCAATTTTAAAATTCTGATCACACCAAAATCCTACTACTCATATATTTTGCAAAAATTTTTCATAGTTTTCTTCTATTTTCTTATGTTAATTTTTCCCTTTTCTCTCTCTTCAACTACTTTATTCGTTTTATGTGAATACATCCTTTTATGTACAAATAAAAAAATAGTCACTTAGGTGTCATCAAAGTTGTCTAATAACCTCTAATTTACACATGTAATTCATTCTGGTTGTAGAAGAAGACACAGATACTGTATTTTACTCCAAAGGATAATGATGAACTATTTACATCAGTACCATATTAAACATTATTTTACACTTTTCAGATTTAAAATATCTCTTTTCTCAAATTGTAGAAAATTCTTAATCAAATACTGACTTTTAAAGTCCCTTTGATTTTATGATTGTCTATTATTAATCAAATATCAATTATTATTCTCTCAGATAAACTGCTTTATTGATTTCCCAAGTTCAGAAATAAGTGCTACAGATAATCTTTATTATAACTCAGCCTACAACTGAAGTAAATGTGTAAATCAATTTGGAAAATATTGACATTGGGGAGAAAATTTACTTTCTATTCTGAAATATCACTCTGGCTCAGTTTTTTAAAAAAATATGTAATTGTATCTCTCTCTAATGTATTATTTTCTCTATAGGTTTACTACACATATATTTTATTATTCTTAAAGACTTACGGCCAAACATGGAGTTTTTTCTAGGTTTATAACCTTATAAGAACAGAAACTTTGATGGAATACAAATTTTCCTTCTTTACGATTTAACCTTAAATAAGCAAATGTGAAATAGATAGATCAATATTATTGTCTTTGCATATAAAATAGTCTAAGGAATCCACTATTAAGATTAAAAGACAAGTTTAGTAATGTTGTAGGATATATATGAACAATACACAAAAACAACTTGTATTTCTATATACTAGCAATGGATAATCTGAAAATAAGAAAACAAATCTAGTTTCAATGGCTTGAAAATAATAAAGTGTTTAGAAATTATTTTAACAAAAGAAGTGCATTATTTACACTTTGAAAAGTACAAAACTTTATATAAAAAATTAAAGAAGAGCTAAATAATAAAACACTTCCCATGGTTTATGGATTGGACATTAAGATGATTATAATTTCCAAATTGATCTACGATTCTGCATAATTCCTTTCAAAGTCCTCTCTGGCTACAGGTTTTTTATTTTTTATTTTTTGCATAAATCAACAAGATGCCCCTAAAATTAATGTAGAGATGCAAAGTATCCTTAATGGACAAAATAATTTTGAAAAAGAACAGAGTTATACCCCTACATTGCCTAGGTACCCTCCAAAATTTTCTTAGGAGATTTACGTTTAATTGTTTTACAATGTGTTTTCTAAATTGTCATGACTCTGTATTCTACATATTGATAGGTAAGTTATAGATAGTAGGATTTTATCTTCTCTATCATTTTAATGAAGCTTAATAGAACTATGGATATAATTGATGTCTATTTTTAAAATTTTTATTCTGATATAACCCATTTCTCTTTTTCTGATTAATGTTATTTTCTTTTTCCCTTGAAGCCCCTGCTAAAATAAGATGTTGCTGTAAACCTCAAGTTTTGTTTGGTTTTGGATTTGTCATTGTTTTTATTTTTCTCTTGAATCAGCGCCTAGCTTCATTATCTCAATGAATAGTATAATCTTAAAACTAAGCTGTTTCTCTTTTAACCAGGACCATGTCAATAAAGCAGAAAATTATGCACTGTCTGAAATTTAGTAAATAATTCTAAATTTTAATGATATCTTATATGAGGAGCCACTATAAAGCTTTAAAATATATGCATATTTTAATGATTTTTCGGAAAGTATAAAATATCTTTTTCCCATTAGGCTGTTGTTTAAAATGCTTTTTGTTTAAGTGCGTCTATAAAGCTAGTGCATTTCAGTACAGAAAAGAACGTGTGAAGGGATTTCTAAATCTAAAACAAAGGGCAATGTATTCCATAATACTTATCTGATTATATGCTGACTATATTTCCTTCATGCCAGCATGGAGACAAAAGTAGAATGTTAGAAAGTGTCCCGAGTATCAATTTACCCATTATCTCTAATGAAATTAAATAATGCATGAGGGACTACAGATTGTAATAATAAATATGCAATAAACTTCTTAGCAATGCAAAGAATAAAGTAACTTTTTATTCATCTACAGGCAAGTAATTTTCAGCTTTTTAAAAGCTAGATTACCCAGATGATTGTATGATTGGCCTCAGTGTCAGAAAAGATGTTTTCTCTCAGGAAGAGTAATCACTGTAATGTTAAACCACAATCAGTTTCATATTCTTATCAATTTTTTAAGTCACGTGAAAATTAGATCAAAGCAAACAAAAAGGTTGAAATAAGCTATTTGGCTAAAGAGACAATTATTCTGAAGGCACACTGTATGACTTTAGAAAACATTGTGACATTATTTTACTTTGGTACATTATTGTTTCTACTATATTTAATCCTTTATGCTTATGATATTAGCTCAATGTTTTTCATCTTCTGTAGTTACCATTGGCATGTGTATACACTTAAAATTGATAAGGTGTTGATGGTCTCCAATACTGCTTCTCTGTTTCAACAATGTACCTTCAAAATATAATAAATAGAAGTGGATAATGTAATGGTTATTTTGTGCAATAATCTATAACTTTCAAAGCTAATTTGAGTGTAATGTTGCTTACTATACTCTAATAATATATATAGGTCCAGTTACTGAACTTCATTAGGATAAGACACGCAAAATAAAATTTTAAAACACTAAATATTTTTTGACTCTGAGTCTAAAAGAAATTTAAATAGCTTAGAAAATAAAGCAACACCCAGACTTGACTTCCTCTGGTCAAATGATGGACTGAGTTTCAACTAAATTAATTTTGAAAAAAAAAAAAACTATTTCCTGTCAATTCCATGTTATATGCATCACATATGGCTTAACTGGCATAATCCTCAAATGTGCTGCAGATTTTATTAGCACAAACTCTGAAGCCAGGTATTAACAGGTTTTAATAGCTTCACTTGCTCTGGAAATCTTAGGGGATAGTGTTTGCTTTCCTTAAGTTTCAAATTTATTACCCCCAGAAAAGAAGATGAGGACAGTAAGTGCCTCATGGAATTTTGGGAAAAATTACGGTGCTGAAACCTATAGATATCTTAGTACAGAGCCTGATTTTTATGGTATGTGCTCAGTAAACACTAGTTATTATCATTATTATTATTATGAATCTATTATTCTGGGTTCTTTTCCTATTCAAACAGTTTCTTTTGTTGTATTTAGATCCTCACCTCAGAGAATAAATTTTAAAAACCTTTAATAGCAGAAGAGGAGATTAACATGTATAGGGAGATGGGAGGAAAGGGAAGGAAAGAGGTAGAGATGGGTAGGCAGAGAGAGAAAAAAAAAACAATATATACCAAAGTGGTAAGTGGTATAGTAAATAGTTTATGTTCAGTGGGAATCCAGATGTTTCAGGACTCAGTGGAAATTGCAATAGGAAAAAGTTGTCTTATTGGGGAACTGGAATTTTTTAGTGTCATAAATTACAGATGGGGTTTTAAAAGGTATACCAGAAAGGAAAGGGCAATTCTTTTTTTATTACTGGAGGAATCAGAAAGATTCCTCACAAGGAGGTACAACCTATAAATTTAGAAGATTAAATTTGATAGTAGTGCTAACACTGTTGATTGAGAGAAGAGATACTTAAGACAGAACATGAGATACTTATTTAATCTAGCAACCTAGAATAAATTCAAAGTTGGATATAGACATCTAGTAGAAATGAAGAAAAGAGTATAAGGTAACAGAGTTAGGTGAAGTTATGTGTATCATTACATAATTCTGAATCTGATTTCAATCCAAATGCCCAAACATCAATTTTTCTGGATATTTTTGCCTTATATCCCTTTTCTCAGTGGAAGTTTTAATTGTATTCTCTTTTGCTCCCATAAATGTCCTAGTTTGGAGATCGATCGATCTGTCTATCTATCTATCTATCTATCTATCTATCTATCTATCATCATCATCTATCATGTAATTGTTCACTTACTTTTAACTGGCATCTATACAACTGTTGAACACATACATTTTTTTAATGGGTAATACTTCACCTCAGTCCCTGGGTTACAATAATCTGACTCTTAAATTTGCTTGCACTTTAATTACCATAATCATTTTACTTGTTATTAAATGTACAATTTGTAATTGTAGAATTAACCACAGAATTGTATGCTTAGAAGTTAGAAATACATAATTTTTTTGTGTTTGATTCCTTTTTAATTAAAAAACTATTATACAGGTTAAGACCAGAGAGTCACATTCTAGAAAAACAAATTACTTACCTACCCTGTGTTTTGGGGGCCATTTTATAGAGGTAAAATGGACTTTTGTCCATTTCAGGACAAATGTCAAGGCTCATGATACCCCACCCAGTAAGCTTATTTATTTACTTATTTATTTATTTATTTATTTATATTTTGTACAATGGATACCCAGAGAAGCCTAACTGGCTTAAGTAAAATAGTGAGAGCAGGTTGAGCATTTATGAGGGCTGCAAAATTGCAAGGTTTAAATTTCCCACTAGCATCAAAAGAGGAGGCTAGCAGATGCTTGTCCAGTTGTCGGGTCAAAGAAGAAAAAGAGGTTGAGACTTACAAAGAAGTCAGTGATCTAATATCAGTAATGAATCTGAATCTTTATTACACTTATAAATTAATGCTATAGCTACTTCAAACCAGGAACAATTATAGGAAACAACAATACTAAAATTTCAGGAATAACATCAGCTCTTAGTAATTAGATTTGAAAAACACATTTTAATCATTTAAGGCTCCCTAAAATACTTATATACTACCATATATAGAAAGTAAATAGTTGTTTTTTTTTTTTTTTTGAGGGGAGTGGGGTTTCACTCTTGTTGTCCAAGCTGGAGTGCAATGGCGCAATCTCGGCTCACCACAACTTCTGCCTCCCGGGTTCAAGCGATTCTGTTGCCTCAGCCTTCTGAGTAGCTAGGATTACAGGCACGTGTCACCACCAAAAAAAAATAATTCTTTTGTATTTTTAATAGAGATGGGGTTTCTCCATGTTGATCAGGCTGGTCTCGAACTCCCGTCCTCAGGTGAATCTGCCTGCCCTAGCCTCCCAAAGTGCAGGGATTAGAGGCATGAGCCACAGCCCCCGGCAGGAAGTAAGTAGTAATTATAGTGGTACATCTCATTATAATACCTGGCCTTAATGAAATTTTGATAAAGGTAATACTATGTTGTATAGATTTCTAAATGTGTTGAGTCAAATAAAGACTATATACTTATTAGAGAGTAAAATATAAAATCATACTGTATACCAAAATATTTCTGCCCTTGATATTTTGACAATATTTAAAATATATTATTTTTCTTTATATAATCAGATGTTTGTATTTTGTATATGTTGATTAAATGATATAGGATAGATAAGGCCATTTATGAAAATGTATACATTTTTCTCATATAAAATATAAGCAATATAAATTTAATGATAATTAAGTGATAATTTAGATGGCAGGAAATTAGATTCAGAAAAGATAGGGGTAAGAAATTTAACAATGGAAGTAATTATATACATCAATCAAATATATATAGTACATGAAAAGAACATATGAATGTTTCAGAAGGACAATTTATACATAGCAATCAATACATGAAATCAATTGAAAAGCAATGCCAGATAGATTCTATAGATGTGAGATAAATTTTGAAACTATGTATTTTACTGAATAATCCTGGGGATAAAAATAATTTCTTCAAAATTAATTTTTCCTACCTTAAAAATTTTCTGAGCTAAATTATAGGTTGAAAGATGAATGAGGTAAACAATCCCAGAAAAATATTTTGAAAATAAAGGACCCTAATGAAAATCGAGATGATTTGTAATGTCATTCTTGTGTTTAAAACGGATTTTTCTTTTCCAGCTTAAGGTATTATTCCAAAGCACCCACTTGTATGAAGTCTTAGTAGTCCAATCTCACTGACTTCTAAGATTAACTTCGCTCATACATTGGAGATACAGTTTTTCATACATAGTTGAGATCATTACTATAGAAAATGTTTTCTCTCTCTTTTGAACTATCAATTTTTGTTCTTAATTGATCATTTCCATTAGAATACAAAAGTGATCATTTCTCCCACATTAAAAATAAACAAAGACAATTCTTCCTTAATTTTACATCTTCCTCTAGCTAATTACCCATTGTACTTTCTCTGAGGAAAATATCCCTCAATAATTGTCTGATTATTGTATACAATATCGCCTTTTATTTCATAAACCCATTGCAGTCAGATCCTAATTCATTATTTTGTTAAGGTCATTGGTGACTGGACTTTGATATATCCAAATGTAATTATCAGTCATTAGTTTGTTTAACAAATCATTGAAGGCCGGGCGCAGTGCCTCACGCCTGTAATCCCAGCACTTTCGGAGGCCAAGACGGGCAGATCATGAGGTCAGGAGATCCAGACCATCCTGGCTAATACGGTGAAACCCTGTCTCTACTAAAAATACAAAAAAATAGCCGGGTGTGGTGGCAGGGGCCTGTAGTCCTAGCTACCCGGGAGGTTGAGGCAGGAGAATGGTGGGAACCCAGGAGGCAGAGCTTGCAGTGAGCCGAGATCACACCACTACACTCCAGCCTGGGGGACAGAGCGAGACTCCGTCTCAAAAAAAAAAAAAAAAAAAAAATCATTGAATAGGTCTGCCAAAAGATTATTTAAATATAAACTAAAATCATATAAAATCATATACTTGCATGTCTAAAATAGTATTTTGCCTATTTGTATGGTCTTCTAAGCTGTGCCATATTTGTGAAACATAAGCACTTTTCCTCTTTTGGCCTTTTTCACACTTTTAAAATTAGAGTATATGATAGTGGATACCATTATAATTTAACCTTCAGGATTCAAAAGACTGAGATGAGGTCTCAATAGACACACAAAAAAAGAATGGCTGATAAATACGATGCCAATCATAAATCTTTGTGTTGATTTAGCTACGTGAAATGGTAGAACCATTCGTAGTTAGAAAATTTTTTTAAAAATGTGTTATGTTAACAACAGCTACATCTCATATATAGAAATCTAAATCTGTGTTTGTTCAGTCAGATATTCCTTTCAGGAATGTTAAGTATCAATTGAGTAAGTTTTACGGACTGAATTGTGTTTCCTCAAAATTCATATGTTGAAGTTGTTAAAAGAACTCTAGATAAATTTAGTTTTCAACAGGGTTTAATTGAGTAAGAAAAAGATTTATAAATTGGGCAGCCCTCAGAATCATAGCAGATTCAGAAGGACTCTGGTGCTGTCACATGGTTTGAGAGAAATTATGGACAGAAAAAAGAAATTGAGGTGTATAAAATGAAAGTGAGGTACAGAAACTGTCTGATTGGTAATAGGCTGGCATTTGTTCTATTTGAACACAGTTTGAACAATTGTCTACCTCTGCATGGTTGAATTATGATTGTTGGGATTAGCTGAGACTCAGTTATTGTTATAGAAGCATATGCTTAAATTTGTGTTTTTCATTTGTTCACTTATTAAGCTTGGTAACACGTCAAGTATGTCAGTATGGAGAAGCTCTCAGGCCAGATTTTAGTTTGACTTAACAATTTTTTTTTTTATTAGTCTCTCGGTTGAGAGACCTACTAAAACTTTAGGAACTGACTTCACTCTCTGTCACTACTGTAAATTATTATTTGGTTTTAGTGTGGAGCTTATAAGTCTTTCTTGGTCATAGTCTTTGGAGTTTGTAAGTCACAGTTTTAGGTCATTTGAATGACTTTTTATGTTTATGTTGACCAATTTGAAGTGAGACTATTTAATTTTTGATGGATGATTGTATATAAAACATTAAAGACTTGAGAGGATATAATGCATTAGGGGGCCTACTTTGATGACTGTCAACAGGATAATATCAAAATATCAAAGTACATTCTTTAACAAGAGTTTTTGTGAAACAAACCAAACTAAAGAAGTCAACGTTTAGGCAAATAGGCAGTTTAACAGTATTAGAGTCTAATTGGTCATAATCTTTGGAGTGTGAAGGCAATTAAGGATCATAGTTTGCTGTAAAGCGACTTGGCTTAAAGAGGTATTCATTGCTACTCTGGTAACACAAATAATAATAACCTGGAGAGTTATTAGAAGAAATATAAAGATCAGAAAACCTTGGAAAACTTAAACTTGTCATTTGTCATTTAGAGTGTCTCAAAATTAACTGTTAGTTGTTTTAGAAACACATTATATGCTATTTTTTGAGAGAGATTTTTAAAAATGTTTTTGGTAACAGTGTTTAAGGAAATCGTATTAGTGACCATTTTAATTAAGTATTTTGTAGTAACAAAATTAGGCAGAGATAAATATATTATTTAGTTATGTTTAATATTAGAGATAGGTCCCAAACTTGAGTAAAAAGGAGATTTGAAGTTCTATGATGTTTTGTTATTATTATTATTATTTTTAAATACAACTGTTCACATCTACCTTTTCAAGAGTGGCTATAATCCATACAAAATCCTGGAGGTTCCGATTGTTAAAAATTTAAGATGTTTTAAAATATACAAATTAGCACTGAATTTTATATAAGTGGTACCGCACTATCATCAAAAGAGAGTCCTCAGGAACCCCACTGGAATTTTTTTTTTTAGTTGAAACTGGCTTATTTTGTCTATGATAGGGCTAGAGTTAAGTTTGGTTATTGACATTTTGTCCTCTGCTCATAGAAGCTCTTATGAGAATTTATACGGAAAGTTATTTTAAAGGCAGGAGCAAGTTAAGCCAAATAGCAAGATCCAAACCAGCAAGGAGGCAAAATGAAATAAGTATATTCTTTACAGAACATATATAGGTCTTCTGGGCGTCTAGAAGCGGACACCTAGTTGTATTTGATAGAGGTCAGTTAGATTTGTTTGCCTATACATCTGTTTTGCTCTGGAAAAAAAAAAAACTAGCGATAAATTTACTTTTTGTGACCATTTATAGTAGGTTGTAAGAGTGCATAATCAAATTTTGTAAAAAGAGACCTTATTCCTAGTAACATAGTATAAGTAATTGTTTATATCCAAACAGGCAATTTTTAAGTCTTCAGTGTGTGACATCGGAAAGCACAGTGTACTCTTTGTAGGCACCACTTGTATTAGTTTTTTGTATATATATACACATATATATAAAACTATATATAAATATATATATAACTATAAAAATATATAATATATATTATCTAGAAAAACTATATATATAGTTATATATATATTTGGTAACAAGGTTTTTAATTGGAAAAATATATATTATATATGGTAACAAGATTTTTAATTGGAAAAGTTAGCGTTGTTTTAGTGAACAAACGAAAAGTTGCAGTGATGTTTAGAATATTGATAGCTATTTATTTATTTACTTTGGCGTTTTGGAGTGACTCTCATTGGGAATGTGAAGATGCATTGGCATTAGTGGAAAGTTTTTTGATTGTTTATATTGGCTTGTAAACCTGACAGCTATTCTAGTTGCATGCTACAGCATAAGTTCTAGCTAAAGGTATTCATCAATTATGCTCCAATGGATTTTTTTAATAGGGAAAGGAAACAAAAAAAAAGGATGAAGTTTATTATGGTGACAGAGACATCTTGATCTATGATTTTGAGAAAGCTGTCCACATCTAGGATGCCGTCTGCTTCTGGGAGGAAATTTTTGGTATATTTTATCTTAAAGTCTCAAACAGGTATATAGTTTTAGGAGTCTGAAGGGCCCTTTGGAGTTGTGAGAGGTAGACCCAAGGCTTAAGGCTCTGAAGAGTTACTGTAGTGTGGTTGGTCAGAAGAACTTGATGTGGTTCATTTTAATACAGTTTAAGGGCAGCCTTTTTCTGATGTTATTTTTAGATAACCCAATCTCCAGGTTTCAGACCTTAGAGGATTTGAATGTCTCTAGTGTATTTCGATTTTTTTTTCCTTGTGAAAGTATAGTTTGGCAAAATGTAGCAAAGGATTGTAGTACATTAGGGTTTAGGAGATTGGGAGATAAATAAGGTTCTATTATTAGAGGTGCAGCCTTTTTAGTGGGAGCCCTTTATTGGATTCTATTACTAGAGGTATAGCCCTTTCAGTGGGACCTATTTTATAAGGTCTTTACTTAGTTTTTTTAGTGGGAGTGAATTTGATTGTCACTAAAGCCGATGATCATATCTTTGGTCAAGGCAACCCATTTGATTAACTTTGTGAATGTTAGTTTTAAGATGCCATATTTTTAACCTTTTTAGAATGTTGAGCATGATAAGGACAATGGTAGTGTCATTGTGTTTGTAACACCTTATTTAACTGTTTTATAACTTGTCTAGTAAAATGCGTTGCCCATTGCTGGAGATTATTTTTAGGAATATCTCATAAAAGAAACAAGTTTTAATAATTTTTCAGCTATTGTCACAGGATTGGCTTTTTTATATGGAAAGTCTTTACCCAACCAGAAGATATATTGTGATACACTGCCTTGTTTTAACCTGATTGACTCTCACTTAGCTGAGAGAGCCGGACAGACTCCATTTTGGTTTCTTCACTTGCCGCCCCCTATCCCCCTCCCTTAAGGACATAACTGGTGCAAGCTGACTCCAAGCACATCCAGGAATGCACTTGCTCATAAGATACTGAGGCAAGCTGTACCAGCAGCCCCTGGGAACGCGCTCGGTTGATGGTACCCAAAGCCCATGCATTTATCTCTTTGTGATAGTTTAAGCCCCTGCATTTGGAACTGTTTTTTCTGTAACTGTTTCTGTAATCATTTATCTTTAACTTTTTGCCTGTTCTGCTTCTGTAAAATTGCTTCAGCTAGACTCCCCCTCCCCTTTTTAGACCAAGGTATAAAAAGAAATCTAGCCCCTTCTTCAGGGCCGAGAGAATTTTTGAGCTCTAGCCGTCTCTCATTCGCCGGCAATAAAGGACTCTGAATTAGTCTCAGAGTGTGGCATTTCTCTATAACTCGCTCGGTTACAACAATATAAACAATCATAAAAATATACCAATACTCCATTGAGGGTGGCAACTGGAAGAAGTCCATCTGGACATGTGTAAATGGTTCATTAGGGAGTAGGTATATACAATCTGAAGTGTAGATTTTTTTTTTAGGATTATGAGTTTAGCAAATCAAATATTGGTTATAAACTATTTTAGAAATTTGGACTATTCTATTAATTTTTAATATAATTGAATAATTGTGTCTGTTTTATGATGAGTTGTGGAATGTAGAGTTTTTAATGATGGAAGCTTTAAAGACAGAAAGGACAGGTGGCTATCCTGGCTTTTTGTGTCTCTACATTGAACATTGAATTTATACTTTTATAGATATCAATTTTCTTTTTTTAAATAATGTGTATTATTCTATTTATTAAGTAGATTTTTATAAACAAGTTGAATTGATGTAATCTTATGAAGTTCATTTAGATTGTATATCCTAACAGTTTTGGTCCTAGCTGATTTAGCAGAAAAATTTGTTAAAGCACTTTCTTGATATTTAGGCTGAGTTTTATAGGTATGAGCTTTAATCTAAATAATTTGTGATGGTAACAGAAGAGTGGAAAAAAATTATCTAACATGGTGTCTATTTCTGATGGGGTATGACTAGAAGGGAGAAGCCCTTGATGATTTTATATTATGTCAAAATATGTTATTATTCTAAAAGTATATCTGTTGTCTGTATAAATATTTATTGACTTGTTCTTAGTTATATAACAAGCTCTGGAGATAGCAAAAAGCACTGTGGATTGAGCTGATTTAAAGAAGATTTTTGTTTGCTTCATTTTTTCCTATTAGCTCATTTTAGGTAGTAACATTATATCCTGCCTGATATTTCTCTTTTGAGTTTTTGGAATAGAACCTATTAACAAAAAGTATTAACTCAGTGGAGTATTTCATAAACCAACATGAGGGCCCACTATTTCAGATACTGTACTTACACAGCTGTGGCCTTTACCCTCATCAGGCAGCGGCAATAGAGTAGTAGAATCAAGTAGATTGTGGCATTTTAGATGGAGATTAGAAGGAGACTGAGAATTTTATAACATGTTAGACTGCTTACTGAAAATTGTTGGATATATTTGGAATTTAGCAGACTTTTATAGTATGTAAGATTGTAAATTCAGATTATTTCACAAAACCAGCTCAGATGAAGCTTTTATCAACTTGGTGACTGGTGATTGTTGTTACTGTTTTGAAACAATTAGGATGTGTCTTAGTTCATAGGTCTTACTGCAGGCTATAATATGTAATGGACCTAGGTTTTCCCCCAAGTTTCTTGGGTAAAAACTGTTAATGTCTGATTGTTATGTTTATAAATAAACAAGGTAAAAGGTTTAGTGTAATTTGCAAGTGTGAAACCCAAAGGCTGTTATAAGACCAATTTTATTTGGCTAAAAGCCTGTTTATGATTCTGTTTCCAAGGCCAAAGCTCTAATATTCTGAATTTAGTAGGTTCATATAATGACAAACACATTAAGAAAAGTTTAGAACTGGCCAGCGTGGTGGCTCACACCTATAATCTCAACACTTTGGGAGGCTGAGACAGGTAGATCACCAGAGATTAGGAGTTTGAGACCAGCCTGGCCAGCATGGTGAAACCCCATCTCTACTAAAAATACAAGAAATTTAGCTGGGTGTGGTGAAGAGTGGCTGTAATCCCAGCTACTCAGGAGGCTGAGGCAGGAAAATCGCTTGAACCCAGGAGGCGGAGGTTGCAGTGAGCTGAGATCGTGACTTTGCACTCCAGCCTGGGCAACAAGAGTGAAACTCCATCTCAAAAAAAAAAAAAAAAAGGAAAGGAAAGAAAAGTTTGGAACCTATGGTCTGTAGTATCCATAAATCTAAGGAAATCTCTCAATTGTCTTTTGCTTGTAGGCCAAGGCAACTTTGAATAGTTTTTATCCGCGGGGGTGAGAGGGGAAATCACTTTAGCAGTGAAGTCACGTTTCAAAGAATGGAACGTTTTTTCTTGAAAACTGAAGATTTTTTTTGAAGCCTTATGCCTTTACCGTGTGAGTTGTAATAGGTAAATGGAGTCAAATTTGGGGTACTCTTTAGTGGGATAGGATAACGCTTGGTCATAGACAACACACAATGAGCACAGAATTTTAAGGACTGTACAGTTATTAGGTTCTGATGCACTGTCTGGGAAAAATATGAAGGGCTCTGTAAACCCTTGTGGCACTACCCTTGTGCACCGTTGATTTGTTTTTTCTAAGTAAAGGCAAACAAGTATAGACTGTCTTTATAAACTGTAATGATGAAGGGCAACCAGAGTTCTGCTACTGCAAACTTCTTGAAATGAGCAGGTACATCAGATAATAAAGTAGTGTGATTTGGGAATACATGAAATCTTGGCATCACATGTTATAAATGGATTTAAAGGGTGCACGTGAAGTTTTGTTACATGGATATATTGTGTGTAAACTCTGAGCTTTTAGTATGCTCATCCCCTGAATGTAAACATTGTACTGAGGCAAGATTTTTGCTCCTTACTTCAGTTAAAATCCGGGTTCTTGTCTCACAACCAGGAAAAATTAAGCACGTGACCATACTGAAAAGGTGAGAGCAGAATTTATTAAAAGGAAAGAAAATTCTCAGCAAAGAAAGAGAGTGTCCTGCCAATGGTCTCCCACCTCACAGATTGAATACCAGGCCACTATATAGGAGTTGAAGAGGCCAGGATCCTCCCCACTGCATAATGTATGAATTCCCAGTTGCTCCCCACAACTCTCGCAGTACACAAGAGGGCCCCTAGTCTGTTGTGGGAATGCCCAGACAAGGCCCTGGGCAGTTTCCCTCATCCTCACAAAAGCGTCTGATGTAAACACTTGTGGGGTGGGTCAGAGATTTTCTGAGGACCCTCCCTTATCTGCATCCTGCATCTATCAGTACCAAAAAGATAATTTTCCAATTCATCCTGTCTCCCAATCTCTCCACTTTTGGAGTTCCCAGTTTCTATTATTGCCCTCTGTATGTCCATGAGTACCCTTTGTTTAGCTCCCATTCATAGGAGAGAACATGCAGTATTTGATTTTCTGTTCCTATTTATTTATTTATTTATTTTTACCCTGAGCTATTTTAATTAGGATAATGGCCTCCAGCTCAATCTATGTTGCTGCAAAAAACTTTTTTATTTCTGCTTTTTACAACTGTGTAGTATCTCAGCACATTTTTTAATCCAATCATCCATTGATGGACACTTCAGTTGATTTTATGACTTGGCTACTGTGAATATTGCTGCAATAAACATAGGAGTGAAGGTGTCTTTTTGGTACAATGATTTCTTTCCTTCTGGCAGAACTCAGTAGTTGGATTGCTGAGTTACATTAGTTATACTTTTAGTTCTTTGAGAAATCACCATACTGTTTTTCATAGCAATTGTACTAATTTACATTCCTACCAACAGTGTATAAGTGTTCCCTTTTCTCCGTATCCTCGCCAACATATTTTTGACATTTTAATAATAGCCATTCTGACTGTTGTTAAGATGGTATCTCATTGTGGTTTTAATTGCATTTCTCTGATGATTAGTTTTATTGAATATATTTTCAAATGTGTGTTGGCCACTAATACATCTTCTTTTGAGAAATGACTATTTATGTCCATTGCCTACGTTTTAACGGAGTTATTTGTTGTTTCTTTTTTGAAGTGTTTGAGTTCCTTGTAAATTCTGACTGTTGGTCTTTTGTCAGATACACAGTTTGAAAATATTTTCTTCCATTCTGTAAGTTGTCTGTTTATTCTTTTGATTATTTCCTTTGCCTCACAGAAGTTTTTCAGTTTAATTAAATCCCATTTGTTTATTTTTGTTTTTGTTGTACTTGCTTTTAAGTCATGAATTCTTTGCCTAGGTCAACGTCCAGAAGAGTGTTTCCTAGGTTTTCTTCTAGGATTTTAGTAGTTTGAGGTCTTAAGTTTAAAATATTTAATCTATTTTCTTTCATTAATTTTTATATACGTTGAGAGGTAGGGGTCCAGTTTTGTTCTGCATATGGCTATCCAATTTTCTCAGCACTCCTTATTGAATAGGATATCCTTTCCCCAGTGTATATTTTTGACAACTTTGTCAAAGATTAGTTGATTATAGGTGTGTGGCTTTATTGATGGGTTCGCTATTCTGTTACAGTGATATATATGCCTATATTTCTACCACTGCCCTCCTGTGTTAGTTAATATAACTTTGCCGTATAATTTCAAGTCAGATAATGTAATGCCTCTAGCTTTGTTGTTTTGGCTTAGAATTGCTTTGGCTATTTGGGCTCTTTCTTGGTTTCATATGAATTTGCAAATACTTTTTCTAATTATGTGAAAAATGACATTTTTAATTTTATAGGAGTTGTGGTGAATGTATATATCACTGTGAGCATATGGCCATTTTAATGATATTTATTCTTCCAATCAATAATAATGAAAAGTTTTTCTCTTTTTTGTGTCATCTATATTTCATTGGTGTTTTCATTCAAGTAGTTCTACTTGTAAAGATCTTTCACCTTCTTTGTTAAATCTATACCTAGGTATTACATTTATTTATATTTGTAGCTATTGTAAATGAGATTAAGTTGTTGATTGTCGGCTTGAACATTGTTGATGTGTAAAATGGTACTGATTTTTGTAAGATGATTTTGTATCCCGAAACTTTACTGAAGTCAAATGTCAAATCTAGGAGTCTTTTGCAGAGTCTTTAGGATTTTCTAAGTATAAGATTGTATCCCTGATGAACAGAGATAATTTGACTTTTTATCTAATGTGGAAGCCTTCTCTTTCTTCTCTCTCTCTTGGTGATTGCTATGACTAGTACTTCCAGTACTATGTTGAATAGGACTCAGGAAAATAGAATCTATGTCTTCTTTCAGTGCTTAGTGTGAATGATTTTAACTTTCCACCATTCAATATGATGTTCACTCTGGATCTGCCATATATGGCTTTTTTTATTTTGAGGCATGTTTATTTGATGCCTCATTTGTTCTGGATTTTTAACATCAAGGGATGTTGAATTTTATCTAATGTTTTCTTGCATCTATTAAGGTGATCATATGGTTTTTGTTTTTAATTCTGTTCATGTGGTGAATCACACTTATTGATTTTGTATGTTTAGCCATCCTTACATCCTTGTGATAAAATACACTTGATTGTAGTGAATTATCTTTTAGAAGTACTATTGAATTCAATTCACTGTGATTTTGTTGATTATTGCATCCATATTCATCAGGGATATTGGCCTGTAGTTTTATTTTATTGTTTTGTCCTTGACTGATTTTGGTATTAGGATGACGCCGGTTTCATATAATTCCTTAGGGAGGAGTCCTTCCTCCTTTATCTTTTGGAATCATTTCAGGAAGATTGGTATGAACTCTTTTTGGCTGTGAACTCATTTGGTATTGAGCTTATTTTGATTGGTAGGTTGTTTTTATTACTGATTCAATTCCATTACCTGTTATCGGTCTGTTAAGGATTTTTATTTCTACCTGGCTCAAAAATGGGAGGGTATATTTTTCCAGAAATTTATCAATCCTTTAGTTTTTCTCATTGGGCACAAGGAGATATTCACAGTAGTTTCTGATGATCTTTTGTTATTTCTGTTATCAGTTGTAATGTTGCATTTATCATTCATGTTTGCTCTTATTTGGATCTTATCTCTTTTTACTTTGTTAATCTAGTGAGTAGTCTACTGATTTTGTTTATCTTTTCAGAAAATCAGCTTTCTGTTTTGTTGATTCTTTGCTTAGTGCTTTTTGTATCATTATCATTAATTCTGGTCTAATCTCTGTTATTTTTTTTCCTGTTAGCTTTGAGTTTGATTTTTTCTTGTTTTTCTAGTTCCCTGAGATGCAACACTTGAAACTTAAATCTTTTCATCTTTTTCATATAGGCATTTAATGCTATATACTTTTCTTTTATTACTGCTTTTGCTGTATCTGTAACATATTTTGATATGTTGTTTCTCTGTTTTCATTCCTTTCAAATTATATTTTGATTTTTCACATCATTTATTTTTTCTTTCTTCTTTTTTTTTGAGACAGGGTCTTGCTTTGTTGCCCATGCTAGAGTACAGTGGCATCATCTCAGCTCACTGCAAACTCCACCCCCCATCATCGAGTGATTCTTGTGCTTCAGCCTTCCGAGTAGCTGGGATTACAGGTGTGTGCCACCATGCCCAGCTAATTTTTGTATTTTTAGTAGATATGGTTTCACCATATTGGCCAGGTTGATCTCAAACTACTGCCCTCAACTTCAAGTGATCCACCCTCCTTGGCCTCCCAAATTGCTGGGATTACAAGCATGAGCCACTGCACCTGGCTAATTTTATGTTTTTACCCAAAGAATGTTCAGGAGCAAATTGTGTAACTTCCATATATTTGTACAGTTTTGAGATTTGTCTTAGTATTGACTTCTAGTTTCATTCCACTGTAGTCTGAGAAGGTATCTAATATAATCTTAGTTTTTTTTTAACTTTATTGAGATATGCTTTATGGCCAAATATATGGTCTATTTTGGATAAGTTCCATGAGAAGATGAGAAAAATGTATTTTGCATTCGTTGAGTAGAATCTTGTGTAAATGTCTAATTAGGTCCTTTTGGTCCAGAGTCCAGTTTAAGTCATTTCTTTTTTTGATGTTCTGCCTAGATGATCTTTCTGTTACCATCATTGGGATGTTACAGTCTCCTACTATTATTATCTTGTTTTTTATCTCTTTTCTTATGTCAGGTGGTGTTTGTTTTAAGAACCTGGCTACTCCAGTGTTAGGCATGTATATATTTAGGTATGTAATAACTTATTGTTGAATTGATACTTTTATCATTATATAGTGACTTTTTCATCTTTTTTTTTTAACTGTTGTTGATTTAAAGCCTATTTTATCTGATATAAAAATAGTTACTCCTGCTTGCCTTTGTTTTCTGTTTGCATGGAATATCTTTTTCATCCATTTACTTTAAATCTGTGAAGGTCTTTATCATTAGGAGGGTTTCTTGTAAGCATATCATTAGATCTAATTTTTTTAATGCAATCTGCCAGTCTACACCTTTTAAGTAGAATATTTATTTGATTTGCATTCAATGTTAATATTGAGATATGAGATTTTGTTCCTGTTATAATGGTAATTATTACCTAGTTGCTTTATAGTCTCAATTGTGTATTTTTTGTGCTTTACATAATTGTGCATTATATGATTCGTGAATTTTGTACATTCATGTGCTTTATGATTGTATCATTCATTTGTTTTCATGTTTAGAACTCCTTTTAGTATTTCTTTCAGGATTAGTCTAGTGGTGAAATATTCTCTTACCATTTTCTTATCTGGAAAAGACTTTATTTCTCCTTCATTTAGGAAGCTTAGTTTGTCAAGATACAAAATTACTGCCTGGCAGTTGTTTCTGTTTATTTAATATTAAAAATAGTCCTCTAATCTGTTCTGGCTCATAAGATTTCTACAGAGAAGTCTGGTGTTAGTCTGATGGCTTTTCCATTATAAGTGATTAGACACTTCTCTCTTGCTGCTTTTAGAATTTTTTTTCTTCATGTTGACTTTGGATAGTCTGATATAACTATAGGTCTTGAACAGGTTCATCTTGCAGTGCATCTTCCAGATGTTCTTTCAACTTCTTGTATCTGGATGTCTAATTACCTAGCAAAACCAGAGAAGGTTTTCTAAATTACTCCCTCAAAAAAAGTTTCCCAAGCTTTTCACATACTTTTCTTTTTTTTTCAGGAATAGCTACATTTGGTAGGTTTATTAGTCTGTTCTTTCATTGCTATAAATAAATACCTGAGAATGGGTAATTTATGAAGAAAAGTGGTTTAATTGCCTCATGGTTCTGCAGGCTATACAGGAAGCAGAGCAGCTTTTGCTTGGCTTCTGGGGAGGCCTCAGGGAACTCATAATCATGGCAGAAGATAAAAGGAGAGCTTACACTTTACATGACTGAGCAAAAGGAAAAGAGAAAGTGGGGAGGTGCTGCACACTTTTAAACACCCAGATCTCACGAGAATCACTCACTATCATGATAACAGCCCCAATGGGGTGGTACTAAACCATTAATGAGAAATCCACCTCCATGATTAAATCACCTCTTATCGGGCCCCACCTCCAACAATGAGGACTTTGATTTGTCATGATATTTGGTGGAACAAACATCCAAACCATATCAGTAGGTTTGGCCACTTCATGTAACTCATATTTGTTAAAGGCTTTGTTCATTTCTTAAAATTCCTTTTTCCTTATTTTTGTCTGACTGGGTTAATTTGAAGAACCAGTCTTCAAGCTCTGAAATGCTTTCTTCTGTTTGGTCTAATCTAGTATTGGAACTTTCAACTGTAGTTTGTAATTTCTTCAGTGCATTTTTTATTTCCAGAAGTTCTGGAAGGTTGTAAATATCTATCTTTTTAATACATTTTTAATTCATATCCTTTACTGTTTTTCTGATTTATTGTTTTGATTTTCACCTTTCTTTTGGATCTCATTGGGCTTTCTTACAATCTACATTTTGAATTCTTTACCTTTCATTTCAGAATTATTATTTTTTAGGGTACATTGCTAGAGAGCTAGTCTTATCCTTTGGTGGTTTCAAAACACTATGTTTTTTTACACAGTCAGAGTTCTCATGCTGACTTCTTCTTATCTTGATAAGCTATCTATTCTTGTTTTTAAATTTACTTACATTTTGGATGACACTATTTTTCCTCCTGAAGGGTGACTGCAATGTATGCTGTGTATGATCCTTTACTTTGACTCTAGGCGATTCCAGGAAGCCAAGACTCTGTGTGAGCTTCTTAGTTATAGATAGCTTTTGTGCAGAAGCTTTCTCAAATGCTTATTATAATAGCAATGTACTGAACATATGAGCACACTTTTTCAGGACTGGGAGTACAGAGGTCTCAGGAAACTTATTTCATTCCCTACTACTATGCCCTTCTACACAGGTTTTTTTTATTTGGTTGTGCAGTTCAGTCTACATTCCAGTAAGTGGCACTTTTGAGTAAGAGCTTTGGCAAGAGCCAATGGGTATGTTATTTGCTCTTTTTTACAGGTAAGGGATTGCTGTTGTCACAGGTTGTTGGCTAGTCTATGAATTACCTCATGCCATGAGTTTCCTGTTCAACCCTGGTTTGAGTGGACAAAGATGAGCAGAACTGGACCACCAAGCTTGTCCTTCAATACTCCAGTGACAAATGGAAGCACCTACATTGATAGGAATTGTAAGGGGAGCTCTTGGTGAATTGCACCAAGGTCTCTGCCAGGGGAAGAAAGAGGCTGCACCAGCTTCACCTCCTAAGAAGGAAGGAACATGATCTTCACTATCATACCTTTGTCCCCGGGCTTGTGACATGTCTTTTATCTACAGGCTGTATGCAACAGAGGTCCACTGAAAATGCCAATCCTGTGGCTATTACCCACATGGCCTCAGAGTGGAACCTTTTTGCTCAGTTCAAAAGAGATGGCTCTGTGTCTTGTTGCACTATGCTGCAAGAGCACTGGCACTCTGCATAGCATGTGGGATAGGCCCTGTCCTTCACGTAAGCCTGGGCTTGTGGATCCATCATCAGTGGGGGCACAGCTACTCTCAATAGATCGGAAATGTCTGTCACAGTTGCAGTTGCACCAACCCCCATTAGGAGCAACCATGGCTATATTCATAGCAGTGGGTGGGTAAGAGATGTCCCCCCTCCACTTTTATCTTCGTATGTGTGTGTTGGGGTGGCATGAGTACTGGAGCAACCTGGCCGCTAGAGTAGGGCAACACTCCTCTGTTACAGAGTGCAGCATCATGCCCATGTCTCTACAGTGAGGGTCATGGTATTTTTCTGCTCACAAGTAGAGAGCTCTTGAGCAAAAAAAAATTCTTTTGTCACAAGAAGCACTTTCCCATGTTGCATTTAACTTTCTCCTAGGGGCAGCATGCCATGAAGGCTAGTCTTCTAGGAATTCTGTTGCTCCCCAGGATCCCACCAGTAATCTGTGGTTGTCACAGTTTCTGTAAGTTCTGAGAAATGTTTTCAGGAGATCTAGCTATTTGGAAACACAAGGTCTGAGATCCCCTAGGCAGGATAGTGGCCCCAACAAGTGCACAACCAATATTGTACCCATTGCCTTAGTTCTGGTTTTAAGTGAAGGTGAGCAAATCGGTTGAGCTGACAGCCTGGTGCCCTGCTCTCAATATATCCCCAAATCATTGCTAACAATAGTGCCTGCGCTTGCGAGGTTAGAGGGGCTATCCAACAGTATGGCAGTCCATAGTCTGCTTCAGGGATGAGAGGGCAAACAAGGATCTCCGCCTACCCTCTCCACAGGACTCCAAGTTCCTTAGAGAACTTTCTCTGTCAACTTTTTGCTTCCTTCATTATTCTGTGCCTCGCTTTTCCTCCACGGGTTCTCCAGTTGGTTCCAGCACTCTTCCTTCAGTATTCCACTTGGGCCATGATAGTTCCTCTTTAACTTTGGTTCTTTTTTCTGAGAAGAACTGGAGTCCTACATCTCTAGTCAGCCATCTTGAAAAAATGGTATTACAATTTTATTAATTGCCCATAAATCTTGAACAAATTTCCAGTCTCATCTATTTGGATTTTTAACTGCTAGGATTGAAGTGTTACAAGGACTTGTGTATGGAATCATAAATCTTTGTTTGATTAAATCTTACGCAATTGGTGAAAGTCCTTGAACTGTTTTGGATATTAGTGAATATTGGGATAATTTCACTATTTGGATTTTTAACTGCTAGGATTGAAGTGTTACAAGGACTTGTGTATGGAATTATAAATCTTTGTTTGATTAAATCTTACGCAATTGGTGAAAGTCCTTGAACTGTTTTGGATATTAGTGAATATTGGGATAATTTATGCAAAGATTTAAAATGTTCTATTTGTTTTTATAGGTTTACATTATTATTTTTTATACTAATTGAGGAAAAGGCCCATAAACATTTAGGTATTTTTGAAAGGACAGGGGTATTATAAGCCTGAGTTTTGATTTCATTAATTTCTGTTTGTAGAGAGCATAAGAGTTATGTTTTGGGAAACTCAAAAAACTCTAAGATTATTTCTCCCTGAGAAGAATTTTATGTTTCTTTCTAGTTTGCACATAAGTCTCACCACAGTAAGTTTACTGGAGCAGTATCACATGGTAAAAAGGTATTTTTTTTTAGAACAAAGTTTCCAAAGTTAATTGAATGTGTTTAGATATGGGAATCTCTAGAACTTGATTTGAAACCCTCACAATCTTTTTACTTTGATGAATTTGTTGGCTTATTAAAGTGGGATCCCAGCAATTTCATTAATGGGAATATACCCCAAAGAAAATAAGCCATTCTACTGAAAAGACACATGTACTTATATGTTTATTGCAGCACTATTCACAATAGCAAAGATATGAAATCAACCTAGGTGCCCATCTTTGATGGATTGGATAAAGAAAATGTAGTACATATAGACCATGGAATACCGTGTAGCCATGGAAAAGAACAAAATCATGTCCTTTTAAAAATATTTATGGAGCTAGTAGTCATTATCCTAAACAAATTAACATAGAAACAGAAAACCAAATACCACATGTTCTCACTTATAAGTGGGAGCTAATAATTGAGCACACATGTTCATAAAGATAGGAACAATAGACACTGGAGACTTCTACAGAAAGAAGGAGGGTGGAGGTGTGAGTTGAAAACCTATCTATGGGGTGCTATGCTCACTACCTGGTGATGAGATTCATACCTAAACCTCGGCATCACACAATATTCCCATGTAACAAACCTGCACATGTATCCTCTGAATTAAAAATAGAAGTTGAGATTAATAAACATTAAAAATGACAAAATAAATAAAAGTTGCTTATGGACTGAAAACATAACATAAAATACAATAAAGCATAGTTTATAGTACACAAGGTGGCTCGAGTATCCACCATGATTGTATACAATTCCCCTTTTATCCTAGGCATGGTTTATTTATGTTTATTGAAGGGTATTACAGGAGGCAATTTATTTCAGAATCCCTTGGAGCCTAATCAATGTTGATAAGCATCATGACAGCTAAAAAGAATCTCTTTTGTTCCCTCTAGTGGTGAAACACTGCAGTCCAAAGGGAGGTTTATTGGTGGACAATCTCATATTTAGTGTCTTCGTTGTTTACAGTAAAGGCAGAAATCTCAGGGTAAAGAATCTTGGTTTTAGGACCTCTGATTATGACTTAAAATAAGAACAAGAAGGTCTCTTTGGTCCCAGCCTCTACGACTATTGTAATTACAGAGACATAGCTTGTTAACCTTTTGAGTTTTTCTTGCTCCTGAGTTCTCTCAAAATGTTTAGCTAAGGTCACAAATTGAGTCATATCTGTAACTTTCTGTCTCAATTAATACATTTTAATTTAACTGTAACATTTAGTTTAATTAAACTGTTAAGTCCATTTAAAAATGCTCATGTCATTTTAATCCATACAGGAAATCCTCTGTTTCATATTTTGAGTGCAGCATGTTTTACAAACAGTGTTTCTAAGCAAATTCTGTAATCTGAAACTGGTTTATTCTTTTTTATTCAGAAGGTTGTATTATGGACCAATCAAAATTTATGGAAGTCTTTTAGAATTGAATTTAAAAGGTTTTTAATACTTTTTTAAGCTCTTTTTGTTACTTTTTATGAGGAGGTTTTAAAGTCAGGGAGTTTTGAATCATAAGCTCATATGAGAATTTCAAATTCCTCAGTAAATATTTGAGGACTTTTTCTTGGATCGGGGAAGTTTTTTACAATGGCTCTAAGCTCAGTTCCAGATCTTGGAGTGAAAGTAATTACAGCAAGAATACTTGGCTGATCAAAAGGTCTTACTTTGCAAGGCATCTGTCTTATTTAACTTTTAAAATATTATCCTTAAGGTGGCAGGTAATTTAGCAAAAATATTAGTGGACTCAGAGTATGTAGGCAGAGATGAATAAAGAAAAGGAACAGTTAGGTTTAGTTTAGTCAGAATACAGTCCTCATTTATAATGTCTAGTCTGTTGCTTAAGCTTTTTGTTTGTTTTTTGCAAACAATCTATAGAGGTGGCAATTTTCAATCTGCTTAGTCTTTTATAAGCCTTGTATACCAATTGAAGACTAATCCCATTGTTTTGTAGGGTTTTTGATCCCCATTTTTCTAATAGCCTCAGAAATAAACAATTGTATTCTCTAGGGTACATCTGTTATTCATATTCACCACAATGAAAAGAAACCTGGTAATGAAACCATCAATCAATAAATTCCCACTTTTCCTCTACACCTCTGTAGTCTCTTCTCTTCACCCTTCCTTCACTCTAGATCATAAGTGAGAGCTAGATCATAAAGACCAAAACACTGCAAAAAAAAAAAAGCATAAAATGAAAAGCACAAAAACAAGACAAATCTATTTTAATGGGCAAGAGGTGATAGTGTGTGAAGGCTAGAGACACTAATAAATGTATCATGCTAAGGAATATAATCTTATCTACCAGTTTATGAGCATCTGCTATAATATCTTCTGTATAAACATACTCTTCTCCAGTCTATATGACAATTCGGTAAATTGTCTATTATTATGTCTACCTCAAAGATTAAGAAATTGAATTCTATTGAAGTGACAAATCTAGATTTATTCTTAATTCTCATTGCTTCACCAAACTACAATCTTTCTACTATGCCACATGTAACCTTTATGTGCTAATGAGTTTTGAATTTCACCCTAAAGTCAGAAGAAGATTTTAACTTTGTAATAATATGATCAAATTTGTAGGTTTTTGTGGATAAAATATAGCCAAGTAGAAGAAATATAAAGACCTGGGGAAAGAAGAATATAATTACAGAAAGGTTTATAACTTCTAAAAAGAAAAAAGTAATTGTCTTGTATGTTAGGCTCAGCCAGAATTTAGACCATAAACGCGTATCTTCGAAAACATCACTACACTGCTAAAGGCCACATTTAAAGACATGGATAATCATAATTATGAATTATTATACCAGAGCATATTATGCAATAATGAAGATATTTGCAGCTTATTCCTGTAACCCTGGCTACTGAGGAGACTGACACAGGAAGATCACTTAAGGCAGGAGTTCAAGACTAGCCTGGACAACACAGTGAAGCCCAGTCACTAAAAATATAAGAGGAAATCTAAAAATTAGGTGGGCATAGTGGCTAAATCCCATCTACTTGAGAAGCTGAGACAGGAAGATCCCTTGAGCCTGAGTGGTAAAGGCTGCAGTGAGCTATGATCACACCACTGCACAGCAGCCTAGGCAACAGAGCAAAGCCCTGTCTCAAAAAACAAATTACTTTCTATTTTATTTAGAAAAATAGAAATAAAGAGATCAGTGCCTTTGAAAATATTTGACTTTGAATCAGTAGCTTGGGGTAAATATGTGTTTAGTATTAAGTTCAGATCAAATCTGCTGATGTTCTAAATGTTCAAATATTCAGATTTCTTATTTCAGTATTTTACTGGCCAGAAACTAGTAGATTCAGAGTTTTGTAATAATATTTAACCAACACAGAATAAACATTAAACATGAGAACTTCCTAAATTGATATTAAAAGCCAGATTTGTCTATCAGAGTGAACATACAAATGATAAGTAAGAATATTATGTTTATATTTGTAAACCCCTGAAACTGTCACCAAATTTAGATGCAACAATTGGTGTTTTGTTGATCCTTTAATATGTAAGTTAAATATAACGTATGATATAGTTTTATCTCATTTTCTATATTTAAAACTGAGAAATTATTCTGCAAAGCATATTCATATTTTAATGTTTTCCCAAATTTCACTGGTCTAATGATATTTTTTCATCTGTTTTTTCACAATCAATGAATATCACATTTTAAAAATCCCTAGCCAAATCAATGTTCCCTCAAGAAGCCAACTCTGTGATATTTCTCAACTCATCATTCTCATTTTTGAATAACAAAATCTTAATTTTGCCATTGTAATATAAAGTAAGCAATGTGGTGAATTCATAAAGGAAAAAAATCTTGCAATAAAAGGCCGGAGTTCAAGTTATAGTTGACATTTACAGAACTTGGAAAAATATAAATAAAAATATAAAACCGACTTTTAATATTCTTTATGAGTGATTGTCTCTCTGAGTTGTGGTGAAGTGTAAATAAACTAAGCAAAGAAATTTTGTTAATCATAGCAGATGATAAAAATATTAACAGCTACTACTATGTTGATTCGGCACTTTGTGGTTACTTATTCAATATTTAAATTTATTCATTTTTAAAATGTATGAGTCCTTTTGTTTGTTAATAAAAGACCATGAGATTTTCAGAGGCTAAAAAGAGAGCTTTTATTTTCTAAGAAACGATTTGTAGATTGGGGAGATGCAGCCTTCAGTACAAGCAAACTGCACTCCAGAGAACAAAGGAAGGGTTTGGCTTTTATAGAGAAAGTTTTCATCCAGGTTCTCAATTAGATCCATTTATGCAAATGAAAAATTCAGACATTTTTTGTTCTGATTGGTTGATAAAATTGAGCCTTGATTGGTTGAGCCAGTTGAACCCTAATTGAGTGGCTTTTAGGCTGAAAACCACAAGTCTCTGTGAAATTTATCTTGGCCTTGGATATAGGAACTGTTCCAGTTCAGGACTGCAAAGCATAATATTCGTCATGGGTTGTACTTTCTGACAAGACTGTTCCCTCACTCATGTCATGGCCTCTCAAACCTGTTTTGATTTGAGCTGTCTCCATTAGCCACAGGGAGTCCATTTTGTCTGCAGGTGTTCTCTGGAGTGGGGTTGTATTTTGCAACTGATGTCAAAGTCAAAATTAAGTTTACTACAACTTTTACAAAGGCTGTTTACAAGCTTTCAACAACAGAACCCATCTGTCATCACTTACATTTCAGCATGGGTCTCAAGGGAGTTAGAAAGAGGAATAAATTTTATAGAGTGAAAAGACGAAAAACCACAGTCTCTGATCAGGCAAGTATTCTATTCACATGGGATTTTTGGAAGCAGGGAGATATAATTGGTCTCCTGCTACAACCAGCAGCCCTTCAAAAGTGCAAGTTGATGGCTTGGGGGTATTTCAAAAGAAGAAAGCTTGCTCAATGTTAGGGGTGGAGAGTTGTTTTTGTGGCCAGTTGTTAACCAGAACAAGTGGGAATCAATGGTTCCGTGGGAATGCTTTGTTGTTGTCAAAATATCATAGTCATAAAGGTCCCTGTGTGGAATAGAGGTGACCACCATCAGAGGCAGTTACTCACCCAAAACATCAAAATTCATGTAAAACCTCTCTAAAGCTTTATATTTTTACAGACTGCTAATCATATGCTCACCATTGATCGCTCCCTAATCCTTAACAGTTTCTGAGTTAGGTTTATGTAGCATTATGATATTTTTCCTACCTGTCTGCAATGTACTTTCTGTCTCTATCAAAGGTTATTTATTTATTTTTTATTATACTTTAAGTTTTAGGGTACATGTGCACAACGTGCAGGTTTGTTACATATGTATACATGTGCCATGTTGGCGTGCTGCACCCATTAACTTGTCATTTAGCATTAGGTATATCTCCTAATGCTATCCCTCCTCCCTCCCTCAACCCCGCAACAGACTGGATTAAGAAAATGTGGCACATATACACCATGGAATACTATGCAGCCATAAAAAATGATGAGGTCATGTCCTTTGTAGGGACATGGATGAAACATGGAAACCATCATTCTCAAACTTTTTTTTTTAACCTTTCTCTTGATATGTAAACATCTCAAAAGATCAGGACTTGATTATCTTTTCTCAGTAGACTGTTCCTCCTTCTTTATCTTCTCTTAGTATTATATGTGAGAAAAATTTTTAATTATTTAATATGATTGCATTAAGATAGGTTCTAGTTATACCCAATCAACAAATCTACAGTTGCATACATGGTGAATTCTTTGCAACATCATAGTCCAGTGTGCTGGTGTGGCTCTCATGGACAATGATCTTCTCTTTAACTCCTATTCTTGACTCTCCATCACACTGAACCTGTGTGCCTTATTTTAAAATATTGCAATCCACATTTCATAATATTGCCATCTATAATATTTCATAATTTTGCCTCTATCTATCCTTAGTTTTATGCTTTATTTGTGTGAAATTTATAGTATAGTGTACACCTTATAATTCCTCTTGATTTCTGCCCAGTTGCTATTTTATGGAAGGTAAAATGTCTTACCTCATTAATAAAAGGTAATACTTAAGAGAGAATTTACTTGGGGCAATAGAATTAGTCCTAGATGTTTCAATTATTTATAATTTTAATTTTTTTCTTTTTAATATTTATATATTTATTGACTCAGCAGAACTCAAACATATTTCAATATAAAGGCCTTTTATAAAATAACCATTACTTCATATAATTAAAGAGTTATAATGGCTGGGTGCAGTGGCTCACACCTGTAATCCCAGCACTTTGGGAGGCTGAGGCTGGTGGATCACCTGAGGTCAGGAGTTTGAGACCAGCCTGGCCAACATAGTGAAACCTGTCTCTACTTAAAAAAATACAAAAATTAACTGGGCATGGTGTTGCATGCCTGTAATCCCAGCTACTTGGGAGGTTGAGGCAGGAGAATCACTTGAACCCAGAAGGGGGAGGTTGCAGTGAGCCAAGATCGTGCCATTGCACTCCAGGCTGGGTGATAAGAGCAAGACTCCATCACAAAAAATATATATATATATATATATATGATACAAATAATTGAACTCTGGTCAAATCACATGACTATTTAAATTTTTAAATGATTGATAATTTTTGTTTTCAGCTTTTATTTTCAATTCTGGGATACATGTGGAGGTTTGTTACTTGGGTATATTGCATGATGCTGAGGATTGGGGCACAAATAATCATGTCGCTCAGGCACTTAATATAGTACTCAACAGTTAGTTTTTTAACCCATATGCATTCATTCCCTCTCCTCACTTGTAGTCTCCAATGTCTATTGTTGCTATCTTTATATTCATGAGTAGCCAGTGTTTAGCTCCCACTTAGAAATGAAAACATGCAGTATTTGGTTTTCTGTTTCTGCATTAATTCATTTAGGATAATGGCCTCCAACCACACCTTGTTGCTGCAAAGGACATGATTTTCTTCTTTTCATGGCTGTGTAGTATTTCATGGTGTATATGTACCATATTTTCTTTATCCAATCCACCATTGATGGGCACCCAAGTTGATTCCATGTCTTTGTTATTGTGACTAGTGCCACAATGAACATATGAGTCCATGTGTCTTGGTAGAATGACTTGTTTTCTTTTGGATATATACCTAATAATGGGATTGCTGGGTTGAATTGTAGCTTTAAGTTCTTTGTGGAATCTCCAAACTGTTTTCTACAGTTGCTGAACTAATTTAAATTCCCACCAACAGTGTATAAGCACTTTTTTTCTGCAGCCTCATCAACATCTGTTCTTTTACAACATTTTAATAATAGACATTCTGACTGGTGTGAGATGATACCTCATTGTGGTTTTTATTTGCATTTCTCTGATAGTTAGTGATATGGAACATTTTTTCATATGCTTGTTGGTTTCATATGGTTGAATGCATGTCTTCTTTTGAGAAGTGTCTGTTCATGTTTTTTTTTACCCATTTCTTAATGGGGTTATTTGGTTTTTGCTTGTTAATTTGTTTAAATTTCTTATAAATCCTGGATATTAGACCTTTGTTGGATGTGTAGTCTCCAAATATTTTCTCCCATTCTGTAGGTTGTCTGTTTACTCTGTTGATAGTGCCTTTTGCTGTGCAGAAGCTCTTTAGTAAGTAGGTCTCACTTGTCAATTTTTATCTTTGTTGTAATTGCTTTTGAAGGCTTAAGTCGTAATTTTTTTTCCCAAAGTTGAGGTCCAGAATGGTGTTTCCTAGGTTTTCTTCTAGAATTATTATAGGTTGAGGTCTTACATTTAAATCTTTAATATCTTGAGCTAGTTTGTTTACATGGTGAAAGGTAGGTGTCCAATTTCATTCCTCTGCATATGGCTGGCTAGCTATCCAGCACCATTTGTTGAATAGAGTCCTTTCCCCATTGCTTATTTTTGTAGACTTGTCAAAGATTAGATGGCTGTAGGTGTGCAGCTTTATTTCTGGGTTCTCTATTCTATTCCACTCTGTGTCTGTTTTTGTACCAGGATCATGCTGTTTTAGTTACTGTAGCTTCATAGCATAGTTTGAAGTCAGGTAATGTGATGCCTCCAGCTTTGTTCTTTCTGCTTAGGAATGCTTTGGCTGTTCATGTTGTTTTTTGTTTCCATATGAATTTGTGAATAATTTTTCAAATTATTGTTGGCAGTTTGATAAGGATAGCATGGAATCTGTAGATACTTTGGGCAGTATGACCATTATGATGATATTTATTCATTCAGTCCATGAGCACAGAATATTTTTTTCCATTTGTATCACACATGTTTTCTTTTAGCAGAGTTTTATAGTTCTTTTTGTAGAGATTTTTCACCCTTGGTTAGATATGTTCCAAAGTATTTTATTTTGTGTGTGGATATTATAAATGGGATTTCATTCTTGATGTGGCTCTCAGCTTGAATGTTATTGGTGTATAAAAATGCTACTAATTTTTGTACACTTATTTTGTATCCTGAAACTTTACTGACATTATCAGTACCAGGAGTCTTTGGTGGTGTCTCCAGGGTTCTCTAGTATAGAATTTTATAATCCATGATGAGAGATATTTTGACTTTCTTTTTTGTTTTGACGCCTTTGATTTATCTTACCTGATTGTTCTGGCTAGCACTTCTAGTACTATGTTGGATGGGAGTAGCAAAAGTAAGCATCCTTGTCTTGTTCTAATTAGTTCTCAAGGGAAATGCTTCCAGTTTCTGCCTGTTCAGTATGATGTTGGCTGTTGGTTTTTCATAAATGGCTCCTAGTATTTTGAGGCATATTCTTTTGATGCCTTGTTTCTTGAGGGTTTTTATCATGAAGTACTCTTGGATTTTATCAAAGGTTTTTCTATGCCTATTTAAATGATCACATGAATTTCATTTTTAATTGTTTTTATGAGGTGAATCAGTTATTGATTTGTGTATATTGAACCAACCTTACATTGCTGTAATGAAGCCTACTTGATCATGACGAATTAACTTTTTGATGTGCTGTTGAATTCAGTTGGCTTGTATTTTGTTGAGGATTTATGCATTTGGGATATTGGCCTGTAGTTTTCTTTTTTCATTATGTGTTTATCAGGTTTTGATATCAAGGCAATGCTGGTTTTGTAGGATGAGTTAAGGAGGAGTCACTCCTTCTCAATTTTTTGGGATATTTTCAGCTGAATTAATACCAGCTCTTCTTTTTACATTTGGTGGAATTTAGCCATGAATCCATCCTATCCATGACTTTGTTTGGTTGGTAGGGTTTTTCTTTGTTTTGTTTTGTTTCTGATTCAATTTTAGAACTCAGTAGTAGTCTGTTCAAGGTTTCAATTCTTAATTCAACCTTGGGAGATTGCGGATTTCAGGAATTTATTCATTTCTTCTAGATTTTCTAGTTTCTGTGAATAAAGGTTTTCATAATAGTCTCTGATGATGTTTTTTTATTTCTGTGGCATCAGTTGTAATGTCACCTTTGTTGTTTCTGATTGTGCTTATTTGGATCTTTTTTATTGTTGTTAATCTAGCTAGCCATCTATTGATCTTATTTATCCTTTAAAAATGCCTTTTTTTTCATTCATTCTTTGTATGGATTTTTGGGTGTCAATTTCTTTCAATTCCACTCTGATTTTAGTTATTTTTTTTTCTTCTGTTGGCTTTGGATTTAGTTTGTTTTTGTTTTTCTAGTACCTATAGATGTGATGTAAATTGTTAATTTAAGATCTTTCTAACTTTTTGATTTTAAGTGTTTAGTGTTATAAACATCACCCTTAACACTGCTTTTGCCTCATCCAATAGATTTTGATATGTTGTGCCAACCCAACATTTAAAATAATACAGCATAAAGGACGTGCATCCATTTGTATTGGCAAGCAAGAGACTTCCACCCAACTTGATAACAAGTATAGATGAATCAGTGAGCAAATGCTGCTTATAGCAACAAGTGAACTGCAGTTGGTGGAAATTTTTTTCAAGATTTTACAATTTATTAGTTATATTTATTGTTGTCATTGTTGCTGTTTCATATTATCTGTGAGTTTTCAATATTTGACTATGGAAATGATTAACTAGTATTGTGAATATCAAATAAAAAATAAACTGAAAACTCTCATGTATATAACACATTGTGAATCTGCAGTCTATGTCCCTGGCTTTATTCAGTCCTATTTTCATTCATAGGTCAGCCAGTCACTGTATCTCCTATAAGTAACCATACACTCTTTTGCCACAGCCATGAGTCCGTTATCAGTACAAAGTACATTTACCTGCAAGGAAACATATAGGCTTTCTTAGCTTGCAATTGAATGTGGCATCCTCCCTGAACTCTCTCCCCTTTTGGGGCAGATAGATCCAAAATTAAAGCTCTTTACATAAATCCATGGGTATGGTTTTTAATTTATTCTAGATGTTGATGAAATACCTAAACAGTGGCTATTTATGATGACATTTTTTAATGGTAATCTCTTTTCTCTTTTGGAATGTGCATTTACTTTCTTCAAGCCTCTTCTAAAAGAGAGACATAAAAAGTATCCTATTTTAATATTTACCTGGGAAAAATAAATATGGGAGAGAGATTAGAAATAATTTTGATAATATAGTTAAAATTTCAGAGATATCAAATATTGTAATTATAAAAATAAGTCTGAAAAAGAACACTTACAAGTCAATAATAATCTCATGAAAATAAAAAGTACTCTAAAATTTTAAAAAATGTACTGAGAAGTTTGGAAGATAAAATTTAGGAAATGTTTCTAAATTCAAAACAAAATAAACAGATAGTGATATAAATAAGTGTAGAAACAAAAATTTTTAAAGATTTATTAAGAAGTTGTAATATTTTGCTATTATAAATGCTTTCAAAAAATTTGTGAACACAAAAAAGTGATTATCAAAAATATCTGTATTTGTTAATTTCCAGAACTCATCATATTAGTCAAAGAGGCCTATCTAATGCCCAGCCAAACAAATTAATAAAGACCCCATAAAAGCCATTAAAAGAACCCTCAGAATACCGATGATACGTATTTGCTACAATGTACACCATTTGGGTGATGTGTACACTAAACGCTCAGACTTCACCACTACACCTTATGTCCATGTAACACAACTATGCTTGTAATCATAAATCTATTCAATAAATAAAAAAGTGACAATCATACAAATAGCAATAATGATAATCATACACACATATTTACACACATATATATTCACGCATGTGCACACACATATATAAATTTATATATGTGTTTATGTTTGTATAATCAATCAGAAGCTAAATCTGTTACATAATTTAACAGAAAGTTACATTAATACAGTCTTAAAAATATAAATGTTAACATTTTTTTACTAAAATTTCTGATATAACAAATTCAGGAAAAAAATTATTACTTAATAAACATTAAATTATTAGCTAACAAAAGAGCCAATATTTCAAACCATTAAGTCAAAAGTAGAATTAAAACCATAAAATAATTAAATTCATATTTTAAAAATGAGGAAAAAGTTAAATTACATATTGTAAGCTCCCATACTCCCTCACTCACAAGCAAGATTTTAATATATATATTATGAAAGCTATATGGCTTTTTATTTCCCCTTCTTTTTCAACTAAAAGGAAACTTTTGGCTATCTTGATTTTTCATCTCAACGTAAAGATAACCTTGGAAATAAATCCTCATTTTTATTTTATTAATTCACAGGAAGCAGGCCAAATAAATTAGACTGTCCAATGTAATTCTTAGAGACTCTCTGTTTTATCACAATTTGTTTTAATCTGATAGAACATTCACAATAATTTATTGCAATAATTTCATAAACTGGGTGTTTGCTTTTAATTGACTGGTAAATTTGTATCATACTACTGAGGTGATTTTAAGTAGGGACCTTCTTGGATATATCGACCAATAGTATTAACTGTTTTTATCAAAGAAATAAACTAAAAATGGTATTGAAAGCTGATACAAACTCTGCTGCCAGTAACCAATTTAAATAGTGAAACCAATTTAAAGTGGTTTATGATTATGATTCAGCATAAAAGTAATATTGCCTTTGTTATTTTGTTTATCTTTCACTTTTCACACCCAAAAAAAGAATTAGGGAGGGATTATATAAATAGCTGTGCTAAGGTAGCTTATAACCTAATATTCTTTTATATTGTGAGAAAATGTGAGAATGAAAGCAGGGAAGGGTGACAGTAGAGTGTCTGCCTGAGACAGGCACTGTGTGAACAGTGGAATATAATTAGTTTGAATTTCAGAGTAAGTCAAATATTCATGTTGAGATGATAAAGTCTTATAAAAATTTTAAAAATCATAACTGAAAAGTAAAATATTTATAATACAACAATATGTGAAATTAAATACATGAATAGAATATGATTGCTAGATAGAGATGTTGGTGTTTATTTAAAAAGGCATCAGAGAAAGGTTTAGAATATGTAATCTTTCTGTTTATTTGATACTAAATTAAACATAGTTCTAATAACTCAGATAATAAAAAATGTCAGAAACATGTGACTAATACTTCTAGAAGTTTAAGTGTAGTATAATCTTTCCTGAAGCTTTATTGATTTCCTAAATATTTGGAAAGGTATGGATGATATAAAAGGTGAGATAAAATTTTACAATAGTAAATTTTATGAAATGAAGCAATCAATGTTTGCTATGTAAGTTTGATAGAGAACTTATGTTAATCATAGGCATTAGTGTATGTAAAATATCTGTAGAGCTCAAAAAATGTGCACTGCAAGACCACACTCCCAGAAATTCATGTTAAATTGGTTGGAGTAGATATTTAGAATATAGAATTTTCTGTTATATCCTATTTTTAGGGCAGTTTTAGATTTACAGAAAAATTGAGGAAGTGGTACAGAGATTTTCCATTACTCTTGCCTCCAAATATTCACAGCTTGTTCAACTATTAAAACTCTGCACTACTATGGTACATTTGTTAAAATGGATGAACCTGCACTGACACATCATTATCACCCTAAGTCCATAGTTGACATTAGGGTTCACTCTTGCTCTTATACTTCCTGTCTTTTGACAAATATATAATGACATGTGTCCACAATTACAGTATCACACAGAGTCGTTTCACTGCCCTAAAAGACCTTGTGCTCTGCTTATCCATTCTTCCCTCTCCTCTAACCCTTGACAACTACTCACCCTTTTACTTTCTCCAAAGTTTTGCATTTTCTAGAGTTCATATAGTTGAAATCATATAGAATGTAGCCTTTTTAGATTGGTTTCTTTCACACAGTGATATACATTTAAGGTTGCTTGATAGCTCTTTCTTTTTAGTATGGAATGACATTCTATTGCATGTATATATCACAGTTTGTCCATTGATATCAATCCAATCAAAATCCTAGAAATTCTAATCAAAACCCCAGCAAGTTATTTTGTGGATATCAGCAAACTGATTCTAAAGTTTCTTTAGAATTTATTATTAGTTTATTTACAGCCAAAAGATAGAATAGTCAGGACAATATAGAACTAAAAGAACAAGGTCCGGTGGCTGAAACTATCTAAATTCAAGATTTGCTATAAAGCTGCAGTAATCAAGACAATGTTATATTGGTGAAAGACTAGACAAATAGATCAAAGGAATGGAATGGAAGCCCAGAAATAGACCCCCATAAATATACTATAGTGGTTTATACCACAGTAACTTATCCATTCACCTAATGAAGGATATATTGACTGCTTCCAAGTTTTGTCAATTACATAAAAAGCTGTTATTAACATTCATGTGCAGGTGTTTGTGTGGAGGTAAGTTTTTAGCTTATTTGGGTAAATACTAAGAAGTACAATTGCTGTATAATCTGGTAAGAATATGTTTAGTCTCTATAAGAAACTGGGAAAGTGTTTTTCACATAGGCTGTACCATTTTGCATTGCCATCAGCAACGAATGAAAGTTCTTGCGGCCCCATGTCCTCACTTGCATTTGGTGGGTGTTTTGGATGTTGTCTATTCTAGAACATGTGCACTGGTATCTCGCTTTTGTTTTAATTTGCAATTCCCTAGCTACATATGATGCTCAATATCTTTTCATATGTTATTTGCCATCTTTATGTCTTCTTTGGCTAAGTGTCTTTCAGATGTTTTACCCATTTATTAATCATAATTTTCAGTTTTTATTGTTTTAAAAGATTTTTGTGTATTTTGGGTAACAGTCCTTTATCAGATATGTCTTTTGCAAATATTTTCTCTCACTTTGTTATTTGTCTTCTTATATTCTTTACAGTGTCTTTTGCAGAGCAGAAGTTTTAAACTGATGAGTCCCAAACATCAATTGTTTATCTCATGGAATATGCCTTTGACTTTTTACCTAAAAAGTCATTACTGTAACCAAAGTCATCTAGGATTTCTCCTATGCTATCTTTTAGGATTTTTATAGTTTTGTGTTTTACCTTTACGTTTCCGATCCATTTTCAGGTATTTTTTGTGTGAAGAGTGTGGGAGCTGGGTTTAGATTCTTTTTTTTTTTTTTTTTTGGTGTACAGATATTCAGTTGTTTCAAGTGCAACAAATACCATTTGTTGAAAAAACTATTTTTGCTTAATTGTGTTGCATTTGCTCCTTTGTAAAAGGGCAGTTGGCTATATTTATGTTGGCCTATTTCTGGGTTTTCTATTTGGTTCCATTAATTTATTTGTCCATTCTTTTACTATCCCATATTGTCTTGATTATTATAGCTTTATAATAAGTCTTTAATTCTGGTAGCTTTAGTCATCTGACTTTATTCTTTTCCCTTAATATTATGTTGACTGTTCTCAGTCTTTTTCCTCTCCATGTAAAGTTCAGAATTGATTTATCAATATCTACAAAATAACTTGCTGGAATTCTGGTGAGAATTGTTTGGATTTTGATTTGAATTGATATTAAGTTCGGAAGAACTGATGTTTTGACAATATTGAGTCTTACTATCTGTGAGCATGGACTGTCTCTTTAGTAAATTATTCTTTGATTTCATTCATTAGAATTTTTCACTTTGACTCATACATATCTTGCATATATTTTGTTACATTTATAACTAAGTATTTATAGCACTTCATTTCAAAGAGTTGCTGTTATAAATGGTATTGTGCTTTATAATTTTAAATTCTACTTTGTACTTGCACTGGCATATGGGGAAATGATTGACTTTTGTATATAAACCTTGCATCCTGCAACTTTGTTATAATAATCACTTATTAATTCCAAGTGTTTTTTTGTTGTTATTATTTTTTATTCCTTTGGGTTTTCTACATAGACAATCATGTCCTTTGTGAACAAAGATAGTTTTATGTTTTTCTTCCCAATCAGTCCAACTTTTGTCTCCCCTACTTTTTTCGTTTTTATTATTATTTTTTTTTTTTGGTCTTACTATATTTTCTAGGACTTCCACTGTGATGTTAAAAAGGAATAGTGAGGATGGGTGTGTGGTGGTTCATGCCTGTAATCTCAGCACTTCAGGAGGCTGAGTTGGGATGACCACTTGAGGCCAGGAATTTGGGACCAGCATGGAGTATTGCTTCAGGGATGACACTTCAGTGTATTTTTAGAAGACTGTTTCAGCACTGTGTAATGTCAGCTCCTTCTAGCTGATGTGCTATGTAATGTAATCATGCAACCTGTGTATCCTATTGTCATGTGTCCATTTCTGTACTTTCTTTGCTGTAAAGTAGATCCCTGAATGCTAACTGTGTAGAATTACATGTCTGTGGATCAGGCACTCTTGCCTGGATAATGGTGTTTGCCATGGTTCTGTCAGCAAGAGAAATAAACATACCAGAAACATGTCTGTGTTTCTGATGACAAACCACCATCTATTCTTATGTTTCTTCACTTATTTTGTATCATTATTGTTTTATTTTGTTTCAAATTTAGAAATGTTACTTCATTTTTATCTTTTAACCTTCCTATGTTTTAAAGATTATTATGAGGTTATTTTCATGAGATGTCCATCCACATGCATTGATCACAAATGTCATTGCCTCTTATTTTCTAATTATTACATTTCCGGGCTCTTGGCCATATTGTCAGACAGGTACCCATTAATGTCTATATATTCTTGGGCCAAATTAGGATGACCAGTGATGCTGCTCACACTTTGTTCACTGGTATTATTTTCCATTTCCACAATTTTTCAAGACCACACTTGAATGTGGGTGTGATGTAGTTCATTTTTGGGTTGTACCCAGGCACTGAGTCAACTCACTCATAAATCACATTCAGATATTTTTCTTCTTTCATTTGGTCATAATGGATACCCCATGGGTAGAGAGCAGCACTGGTACAGCTCTGATAGATCAGCACTCAGCTACCAGCTCCTATAACTTACTCATCCCCCTTTGTCCTACTATTTTCTCTCTTTTGATGTGCTACCTCTGGACCTATCTGACTTTATGACTTGGCAGGTATGACAGAAACAAGCTCAAAATAGATATCTGTTGTTGTTTCAGCTGTGGTAATACATAGTCAGTTTTTAGATTCCATTTGGTTTCTATAGGAAGAGACTGGAAAATCAAATATTATACAATAGAGAGCATTGGATTGACCTTCATTCATTAGGTCTTTAATAATTAGCACTAATCTATGTCCTTTCTTAGGGTTGTATATAGGAACTTGCTTTCTCTCTCTATCCCTCCCTCCCTCTCTTTTCTCTATTAATTCATATATCTATATACTATCTTGCTATGTGGTGATGAAGAGTTTAAAAGTTTCTACCTGATCTTTCCCAGTATAATAGCTTTTATTTCACAGGCCAAGTACATGTGTGGGGGTTGCTTTTACTGCCAAGTATATTAATTCAATTCGGCACTTTATGACAAGGAAAATGAGTATTAGGATGGTTCTAAGAACCCGCTGGGCATACCGTAAGGTAGAATTTCACCAGGACTTTGTTATTACCTGGCCATGATGCCAACACTCTAACAGGGGCCATAATAATACATTGAGTCTCCAGATATCAATGTCAAGTCAGCTCCTGTGTTCAATTGTTCTCAAACTGTTTGGATATCCCTATTCCAATTTCTAAGTGTATACAATAACTTTACTAAATAGTCATAGGTCCTTGATATGGTTTAGTTCTATATCCCCACCCAAATTTCATGTCAAATTGTAATTCCCAAATGTTGAAGGTGGGGCGTGGTGGGAGATGATTGAATTATGGGGGCAGATTCCGCCTTTGGTGCTGTTTTCAAGGGAGTGAGTGAGTTACTGTGAGATATACTTGTATACAAGTGTGTAGCACCTCCCACCTGGCTCTCCTCCTCCTGCTCCAGCCATGTAAGACGTGCCCACTTCCCTTTCACCTTCTGCCATGATTGAAAGTTTCCCGAGACCTCCCCATCCATGCCTCCTATATAGCCAATTAAACCTCTTTTCTTTATAAATTACCCAGTCTCAGGTAGTTCTTTATAGCAGCACAAGAACAGACTAATACAGTTCCTTTGAAGAAAAGACTGAGAACATGATTACAACAAATATGCCATTGTATTACAGTGTTTTTGCTGCTACAGACCTTACCGTTTTTTCAGCCAATATATTTCAGATGTAAAAATTGGATCAGGTCCTGATATTGGTAAAAGAATCATGATTTTTGAATTTTGATAACTGTTTTTAAACTCCTGCTACTTCATTTTTGTCTTTTTTGGGAGGTTACAGATGTTAAGTAACAAAGTAAGACAGTTGACTCACTGCCTATGCTTCCCCCAGGGCTGCCATGCTGTATTAATTATTTCTGCAATACTCTCTGTTCCAAGGTTCCTTGGAATTGGCTTCATTTTTTTCTGGCCACTACTGTATTTGTGACTAATCACCTCTGTTACTTCAGGGCCTCACGTCCTCAGAGATATGTATGAATCCAGCTTTGTAATTGCCGCCAACACCATAATCTCTAGTCTTCAGAGGAGAACTACAACTAAAATTCTTAATGTAGCTGGTGACTCTCACTAATGGTGTTGGTGCATTGTTTGTTTCTTTGCATTTTCTGGAAATAATCTCTGATGAGTCTTTGGGTCTCACATAATATTTCATTTCTCTATTCCCACTGCCTTGACCCTCTTTATTCTTTTCTCTAATATCTATTACTGAAACTCAGGAATTTCCATCATAATCAGCATTACTCAATAATTTCTCTAGGCTTCTAAGAGTCACCATCACAGTGAGTTTTCTCCATCCCCCTGAGATCTTTCTCAGATTATTACATACTATGTTCCAAATATGAGCACTCAAAAAAAATTCTCGATTATCCAGACTTTCACCTACTCCCGTTGATAGTGCATCCTCAAAATTCATATGCAGTTTAATACGCTGGCTACTAGGTTTATGTGCTAGCTCCCCCAATGCTAAACCCATTTCTCCTTATCAGAATGAGCACATCACCAGATGGGTTATGCTGTTATTTAACACTATGTGGCTGCCTGAAGGAGGGGAAGTGGGGGCAGCTCCAACGGCATCTACCGGTTGCTTGTGGGTGTGGGTGAAGAGCAAAATTCTTCTGCATCATCTTCTAGTGGAGAGGAAGATCTAGTTCTTAGTAGAGAAGTATGGGTTGTGTCTGTAATCTCTGAACATTCACAGGGCTCTGCAGAATCAACTTCTTCAGAAATGTCCTTCTCAGTTTCTTAGACACATATTTAGATCTTAGGTTTTCTCAACCAAGGCTCCTGTTTTTTCACAACGCACATGCCTTGATTAAGCACTTAGACATCTCGGAAGCTCTGCAAACCTGTCAGATCTCTGGTGTATTGTTTGGCTATTTATGTTTTTCTACTGCAGGAGATAAAGGACTTGCTATCAAAGAGACATTCTACTTTCACACTTACTCTTTAGCTTTTAATTATCCTTCTCTGTATTATTAACATAACTTAGCAATAAATAGCTCACTCTGTTTTCTTTGTAGGCTTTATTAATTTCACATCTTTCAAATATACAGACAATATCAACTACAAGGAAATCCACCTAGGATATCTCCCCATGTTAGCACTGGTGAAATCAACAGGAACTGGATTGCCACCTTGTCTCAGGCACTGTCTGTGTCTCACATACCACACAGAATAGCATTCTCTTTGCCTGTCAGGTAGTGAGTGAACCAGTCTCCAAATCTCAACTTAACTTTAGTCTTTCTTGCACCACTGAAGTTAAAGTACAGAAGCAGACGCCAAGGCAGGAGGAGGCATAGAAAAATGCCTATAAAAGAAAAGGGGTAGGCCGGGCGCGGTGGCTCACGCCTGTAATCCCAGCACTTTGGAAGGCGAAGGTGGACAGATCACGATGTCAGGATATCGAGACCGTCTTGGCTAACACAGTGAAACCTGGTCTCTACTAAAAATACAAAAAAAAAAAAAAAAAAAAAAAAAAAAAAAAAAGCCAGGCATGGTGGCAGGCGCCTGTAGTACCAGCTACTCCGGAGGCTGAGGCAGGAGAATGGCGTGAACCTGGGAGGCGGAGCTTGCAGTGAGCCGAGATCACGCCACTGCCCTCCAGCCTGGGCGACAGAGTGAGACTCCATCTCAAAAAATAAAATAAAATATTAAAAAAGAAAAGAAAAGGGGTAGATAACCAGGTAAGATGGGCAGAAATTTCAGAACACAAAAAGTATATGATTCCTGTGAAGTTGGTAAGGTGGGAGAAGAGTTGGATAGAAAGAGTCTTAGAGTGTAATATAGTTCAAAAAGAGTTTTATCCAGACGGATTGAGAGACCTTGAGCCAAAGTCTCTAAGTTGAGACTTATATCTCACAGAAACAGGCCTGCATTAGAGCAAGTAGTGCACTTAATCACTGTCTGGAAGACTTCTGTGGAAAGTCTAGCTTCAGCACAAATGTGGCAGTGAATTCACAAGGGCAACAGCTTGGGCCATTACTCAGTTATGCCCCCCACAGCAGAAGATCTCACTGGATCACTTCCTGGCTAACACAATAAAAAGAAACATTAGGAATTACAATGTGATAATTGATTATAATCATGTAATATATAATTTAAAGCAGAATCATGGATGTATTTGGACATTAGAATAAAAATATCTTCATTTTTGATACTTTCCTGATGTTATTTCTGATCATTGGGCTGTTAAATTAACAACACAAATAATTCTGTTTCCAGCATAGGTATGATTATAAGCATGTGATAGCTTCAATGAGACTGAATGTTTGGATTGATAATATCCTGTGCTACAGTAAAGTCTCTTGGAAAGAAACCCCGAGACCTCAACTGGGGACTCCTTGGAGAGGGATTGTTTACAGGATGATATTTATAGTTCACAACATTTTCCCACACCTGCGCTCCAGAAAAATAACTGTGATATGGTGTCAAATAGACCAAGTAGAGAAATACAGTTTCCACTTTGTGAGGTCATACTTTATTTAGTTAAAGAATTGCAGGACCCAGTTAAGATGTATCTGAAAGACACAAGACATTTGTGGGTATGAATCTTGAGCATATTGAAACAAAATGATGCATGCGAATAGGGTAGATTTTATTAGCATGGGAGCACTCTCCCATTATGCATAATTTATCAGCCTTAATGTACTACAAAGATAGATTAGTTCTTGAAGCTTAGACCCTATGATATTCTTAGAAGTAAAATGGAGATCCCAGAAATGTCTTGAAAGAGTAAAGAATTTTAGAACAAATTTATTATTTGAAACAAGGAAAATTATTACTTGACTATATTCCCTAGGAGGGCCCAATAGACACACATTTCTGCAAGATGGTATCCAAAGCAATAGTGTATGTGCACCAGCGATATAAGATCAGTATGTTCAATGATAGTATGAATTGCTTCCCTGTAACCAGGCATGGCATCCCAGCATTGATATGAATAATAGGATTCCAAAATTGTAGAGGTGAGGTTGTTCCACTTAAGCAATAGAGACAAGCAGGCATAGTTATCAGAAGGCAAAACTAAATGGGCAACCAGAGTGCTTTGATCTACAGAGATATGTAGTAATGGCTAAGAAGCCATGTTTTCCCTGGAGATGAAAGCTGGGGATCCCACTTGGGTACTACTTGACTAGGGAAACCAAGAAAAAATAAGAACTGGAGATTAGATGTAAATGATAGCATTGGCAATGTAAAAAAAAAACTTATTTCTTACTCAGTTTTTCCAACTGAACTAGTTCTCTATCACAGCACTCATTGATTGAATAGTAGTTTGGATCTCTTTGAAGAAGAGTCCTTCAATATTGTCACAAGTGTACATAATAAATATCAGTTTTTTATTTTAAACAACTTTCATTCACCAGAATGAATGTAAACTGGGGTTCACAAGAACATTAATGATATTGGCATTAATTATGATATTATGCTGATGCATTGCTTGACGCTAATTAATGGGTCTCTTTGGATTCTGGAGGCACAACCGACAATATTTGGGAAAGATCATTTATCAAGTGACACAAGGTTGTCAGTTTGAAGTGCAACCCAGAGCAAGAAAGGGTTAAACATGAAACCAAATTTAGTCAGTAATATACCCTGACATTCTACCCATTAGATCTAGATGTCAAAATACTAGAAGTATTTGAGGTAGATAAGAATGATATGGAGAGTCTGTAATATAAGTGAACTCTAAAAGGAGAATCACAGCCAGAATCTTAGGGCAAAGATAATTACTCACCATTTGAAAAGCTATTTCTCATATATTACTGGACCCAAGTAAAATAAAAGAACTAATTATAAGGTACATTACTGCTTGACTCAGACTGCTCCCCACCAAAACCTGAGCAAGATCTACTACATCATATGGTTAAGTGGGCACTACAGCTACAAATTATATGGTGGAAATATTACATTTAGAGTTAAACATGAACTGTTAAAGATGACACAGGTGTGTTACAGGTACAAGTGGCTCAAATTCCCATCAAACCTATTACCTTTGTACCTTCTTATCTAACTCAGTTCTCACCTATAGTCTCCATGGGGATTCTTCATCATCAGTAGACACAAAAGGAAAATGTTCAAGCTTGATTCACGGAGGGGTGGTTTAGTATTTTGGAGCAAATCTGAAAATGAACTGCTGCCTTGCTATAACTCCATTCAAGGCTGGCTTTAAATAACATGAAGAGGAAATTCTCTCACTTAGGTAGTGCATTATACATGATATTCAAGTCTGTATACAGAGAAAAAGATTGTGAGGTAAGAATGTACAAGAACTCCTGATTAGTGATAAGTGGCTCACCTGATTTTTCTGGGATCATGAAGGAGCAATATTGAAAGACTGGCATAAAGATTTGGAGAAAAACTGGGGCTCGAACCATAAGCTGACACAAAGTTTGCAGGTCTTTGTGGTTCACATTAACATCGATAAGGGAGAAGACAGCCTCTACTGCAGAGAAGGCATTCAACACATGTAGAACAAGATAGCTTGTCTTGTATACTTCAGCCACATCTATATTTGATTATCTCATACTTGCATAATGTATACATGAATGGAGTAGCACTGGTGTTAGGAGGGGTGTTTTGTATGGACTCATAATTACGACCTCACTCTCTCACCACAACACTAATGATGCTGCCTTATAGTAGCGGAGACTAAAGTTTTTCCACTAGTTTTCTAGTGTTGACTTTTATAGAAATTGTGACTAGAAACCATTCGTATTACAGAGAGGACTTTACATATGGTATGAACTCATCTGAGCAGTGGCAAGACACAGCCCATTTATTAAAGGCAGGATACTTGGCAGACTGTTTAAAATTACTAGGCGTGCCATGGCTGTGATTGCCAAGTTCTGTTGTTGTTTGTTTGTTTGTGCAACCTCAGACTCATGCTAACATTAATACTCACAAGTGTGTACCAGTGTCTTTTAATACTTTGCCCCATACTTGCTCTGAAGCTGTGGGAACTCACTTTGCCAGCACAGAAATGTCTTCTGGAAGTGTGGAAGACTTGGCTCTCCTAGGGGGCAACTTTCAACCAATGGAGGGTGGAGTGCAGTGGATAGATACCCCGCTTTCCATCATTTGAGGCTTCTTTGAGAGGCCTCAAATATATTATATTATATAATATATATTATTATATAATATAATATAAGATACAATATAATGTATTGTGTTGTATAATACATTATATTTTACAATATAATATATGTCATAATATAATTAGCATGATACAGCTTACATCAATGGCTCTAAAATGAATGCTTATATGAAATTAAAATAATTTTAGAATTATACATGGATAGGTTTATGACATTGATTTTGGTGATGTTTTCAAAGACGTATACTTATCTCCAAACTCATCAAGTTGTGTGAATTAAATATTTACAGCTTTTTTCATGTTAATCATACCACAATATTTCAAATACAAAAGTTTAAAAAATATTTAATTCAAATCCAAAAACTAAAAACAAATTTAATAACTTTTTAGATTATTCATTTGCAATCCTACAGATCCTAATTCAGTACATCTTAGGAAAGATCCAAAAATATTAATTTAATCAAACATTCCAGGTAATTCTGTGCAAGAGATCTGCAGACTGGTTTTGAGAAATCCTGTTTTAACTAGTCAAGGCCATTGCTTACATTTACTTGGCTTTTCACAGTCTTATTACTACATACAAGTGCGCATCACAATTATACTCCAGAATGTAATGTTCAAATTAGAATCAAATGCCATAATTTGGAAAGCATACAATAAAATACACATTGGTGATTCTTTGCAATATAGTGAATAATGCAATATCAACATTTGTGGGATATTTAAATATCATACAAGGATATTTAACAAGCATTTAAGTGTTAAATGCTTTTAGTTCTTCGCAGATCCAAGTCGGCCAAGGTCTCTGGTGGCAATGTTTTTGCTTCTGTGGTGATTTCCCACCAGAAACAGATAGTCTTCATATTAAATAGAATAACTGATGGCTCAAGCCACATATTCTTTAAATAGCACTAGCACTCAGTATATCAGACAATGGTAAATAATTGCTTCCAAAATACTTTACATAAATTTATTAACAAGTATGACAAGCTCATATAGGAACACATAAGTTAATGACAATTGATGGCATATTTTAGGTGAATATAAGCTTCCAGTTAAACCCAACTCAATGGTATAATAATTTTAATAGTTCAGTTTAGTGAAAACAATATAATTAGAACATTTTATATTAAAAAAGTTGACTTCTTATGAAAATAATAAATTTCTGTTAACTCATTTGTTTTTCTTTATTTGGAGTAGTTTGTTTTATACCTGTTAACCCCTTTAACATTAATGGTTGTATAATTCCTCCATCAGAGAGTATGTGAGAATTACTCTAACATATGCAGAAAAAACTCTGTTTTAGTATGATACTTTAAATTGAAACAATTATTATGATCACATCTTGGGAAAAATAATCAAATTGAAGAATTACCTTTGTGAATTAGCCTCAAGACAAAATTGCGTGTATTTGAATTTAACATCATCATTTGACGAAGAGCACAAAGAAAATACTAAATAAGGAAAATAGCTTTAGATTAAAAATAATGTTTAAAACCTACTGAATTTCTGGTCAAATTATAATCTTAATGAAATATTTAGGGTGATAATACTTTTGTTTTCTTCAAGTACTTTGCTGACTCTCAAAAAGTTTCATACATAAAACATGCTAACTACATACATCATAGGAATTAAGGTGATATTGTTGAAATAGGCTGAGAAACTTGCTATTTTCTTTATTATTATCAAAAATTTAATCTAATCCAATAATAAATTAGTTTAACATAGAGAAGAGTTATTCTCATAATTAGTGTCTCCAAATTAGAAGTAATTTTAAATAGTAAAAATAAATGTGTGATTTATCATTAAATAAATACTCTCAGATTCAATATATACTTATAATGGTCTGTAAGTCATTTAATACATCTGCATTTCTCAATTTTCAAAGTTTTTCTGACTCAGTAACAGTAGATATAATTTATAAGAAGTATTTATTTGTAGTGAATACACACACATACACACACACAGAGGTTTGTGGAGGAGCCTCATATTTCATATTCAGTGCATGATCTCTCAAGGATAGTAAAAAAAAAAAAGAGTTTTTCGATTGACTTCCTGTTGAATATATGCATGACCATGAAAAAGTCATTTAACCTTTTCAACCTCAATTTTCCCTTTGTAAAATGAGAAACTTGGACCAAATTCATAGTCTCCAACCTTTCGTTACAAGGAGCAACTTCTAACTTAGCCAGTTGAAGAAACGATGGATGATGAAGCACATTCAGGAGGTCAGATAATAGAAACTGAAAGGTTACTGCGTGTTGCATATGGATATATCACCACTTCTGATGATGCTCCTTTCCCCATCACCAGTCAGAGAAAATATTAGAAGGAATGTAGCATATACCAGAAGATAAATCTACTGAATTAAACTTTAGATTTCCCTCAAGTATAGCTTTTTTTTTTCCAGTAAGAATTTGTCCCTTTCCTTGTAGCATACTTCTTTTCTGTTTTCCTATGGCTTGACGTTAGAAGAGTATGATTTCCTGCAACTCTTCTACTTACTTCTTTAAAGTAGAGAGGCAACAGGAGAGATTGGCTGTCTACTCAAATCCAATTTAAAAATATGTTCAAGTACTATAGTCCATGCATGTATGGCACTGTCCTGGGGCTTGTGTGCAATATAAAGATAAGTAATGAACAGTATTGTTGTTCAGAGGCATTGATTGTGCTTAGCTTGTTGATTTTGGAAGAATGTTTCTTTCTGGTTTTAAATCACAAGCAAGTTAAGAAGAGATGGTAAAGAAATATCAAGAAAAGACATTCTCCCTTTCAAAAATGTTTCTCGATGGTTTAAAGAAACAAAGTTCGGCATTTTTTCATTTATTAATTCATATACCAGTAGTAGGTTCATTTAACAATTATGATTATAAAATTATTTCGTTGTGTTTTAGATATGACTTAGAAGAGCTAAATATAATTAAAATGTTATGATCAGTTACTATAGATTCATTTAATTTAAAGAAGTACAATGTTTTTTTAGCTTAAAAAATCAGGAAAAATTAACACAAAATATGGTGATGGGAAAATTTTTTGTGATAACTTTACTTAATGGTATTTCCTCTAACTTTGGGCATTGATGATTAGAGAGAGATTTGAACATTTGGCTGTTTATAAAACTGCAATTAAACTGCTTCAAAAATATACAATGATCATATAGAAATTTTTTTTTGAAAATATAACTTTCGCAACCAACTTCTTAGCGCAGACATAAATTATATATATATTCTTAAAATTATAAACATAATAATAAATGATATAATCTGCTTAAAATGTAGTATACCAAAAGTAATATGTCATATCTTCAATATAATCAAAGTGCTCAACTCTGAGCTATCAATTTGAGATACTCCAAAAAGAAAATGATTGGGCCCAAATTTATTACGATTACCTAATGATCTCAATTCTAATCAATTACTGAAGTGCATATCTGCTTAAAACATATATTTTGTATACTTTATTTAATGTAACTTAAATTTATTTTGTTCTATTGATCTTTGTTATAAAAATTAAATCAACAAATTGCTGGCTGTTTGAAGATGTATTATAAATCAAATAAATCTGGTTGTAATGGACTGAATGTTTGTGCCCCTTCAAGATTCATATGTTGAAGCCTGAACTCAATAGGATGGTATTTGGAGGTGGCATCTTTAAGAAGTAATGAAATGGAGCCCTACTAAATGGCATTAGTGCTATTACAGAAAGAGGCCAGAGAACTAGTTCATTCTGTTCACCATGTAAGTTGAATCTGCAACCCAGAAAAGACCTTCACCAGAATTTGACCATGCTGGGACCCTGAATTTGAGCTTCTAGTCTCCAGAACTGTGAGAAATAAATTTATAAGTAATCCACTTTATGGTTCTTTGTTACAGCATTCCAAACTGATTAAGACACTGTACTTGATACTGATGAATTGTGTTAATATTTAAGATTAATTTGATTGATCTTCTTGGGATAAGTGGTGTGTATCATTCTGGTTTATGTAATGAATTAAGCATTCACATTTATTAATACTTTATTTGTTATGGGAGACTTATGGAAAAAAATAATTTTACCAGAAATTTAAAATGTTTACCTTGTTGAAATAATAGGTTACCCAGGGAAAAGATATTTGGAACATATTTTCTTTAATGTTTCTGATTTACATATCCAGTTTTATTACATGACATTCTAAAATAATCATTAAATACAATTATATACATATATATGTAAAACAGAATATATATTTGCATTTGACAAATGAGCATTTGCTTTTAACAAAGAAAACCTGAGAAAACCAATCCAGAGTCAAACAGTCTATTTAAGATGTAGTGCAATTTTCTGGGAGATTTTTAGCCATTTGGAGAGTGTCTTATAAACTATTAAAATAAATGTGTTTAAGTCTTAAAATGAAAGTTGAATCACGGAATGAAGTTTTTTTACAATGAATATTCTCAATTTTATTTCAGCATTTACCCATAGTCCAAGTTGCTGTCAAATAAAATTTTAAATAATATATTTAATTTTGGGGGATCAGCATTCACCCATGTTTCAAGTAACCATAAAATAATCTGAGTTTTGTGTTGTCAAAGCTACAATGGCTTTCCTATACCTATACTCACGTTATTTTATAAAGGCAACTTATTTTAGCAACATTTTTTCTTCTCAGCTCTTTTTTTTGCATATGTACATACACACACATACAAGACACACACATTTTCCTACACATACGTAGTTTAATAAAACTCATTAATATTGTTATCAAATGCCTTTTTTTTAAACAATATGTTACATAAGTTATTCACCAGGAAGAATCTCAATTGGAAAATATTTTAAAATTGTTTTACTTTTATATGCACTTGCACATCTCTAATATAAAGTTTGAAATGTAAAATACATTGTTTTAATTTCTATTTTAAAACTAGATTAAGTGCTGTATATTAATGGTGGAGGTTGGCCTGTGATTACTGCTAAAATCTCATAATCTTCATAACCTTCCTTTTATAGCCTAGGAGGAAAATAAGCAACTTTAATAAGCAGCTGAGTGGGAAAAAAACCAAAATCAGATGCTGATGTACCATATCACACCACACTGTGCAGTACACACGTATGCACCACATCAAAAACTATATTTCTATTACAATGTTATTTTAATTTTATTTTACATTTATCTTAGGTTCAGAAAAAGTTATATTCAAGCACTTGCGCGAGATGAAATGTAGTAAACATGAGCATCGCTACATAAATAAATGATAAGAAGATTTCTCTATAGTCTAAACAGAAACTTTTTGGTTCCAAGTTGCCATTTTGGATAAATGTTGGCTATTTGGAAAAAACAAACAAGCAAATATAAAAGAATATTAGTAATAAAATATTTTTCTAATTAATCCATGAAATAAATGAATATTTCCAAATGATTGAAATAACTACTGCCAATAATGTATGAATTTTCACAATTTTGTGAAAACAATGGATTACCAAACCAACTACTTATATTTATTTAACTAGTATATTAAAAACACTATAGGAAGTCCATCAAATATTCAGTTACAAATGTACATGTGTCAGTGTGTGAATGTAAGTCTCTGTGTGCAAATGTACACAGACTTCAGGGAATTGTCAGGAAAATATGCAAAATGGCTGAAAAAGAAAGGCAGGCAGACATTTAAAAAATATTTTTGATTATGAAAGAAAACATGACCATTTAATAACTGGGTCTTTGGAGGAAATTTTTTACTCATTTGAAAATTCATCATTTTACATAACAATAGAAAATAATTATAATAGCTAAACTTTATTGAGTAATAATATTCTGGGAAATCTTCCGATTACTGCACATATTCATTGTATTCAATTGTCATAAATCTGTGAGACAGAGACTATCAATTGTTTTAACACAGATCTCTGAAGAAAAATACTATGTAGATAACAATTAAAAAGTTCTTAGTTTGTAAGATGAAAAAAGGCTTACTTGGAAAATTATATTTGATTTTAATTTTTAAAAGTGAAAGAAATAAAGTGGCCTAAGAGAGAAAGATTGAGCATTTGATGATAAGAATACCCTACATGCAAATAAATATTCAGTGAACTGAAGTAGCATAGCATATTTGGTTAACTTAAAGAAAAGAGAAAATTTCATAATGTTAGGCTGGAGAGGTATACAGTAGCCAGATACAGAAGTTATATGTCATTTCTATATTTATGTATTAATCAAAGAGAAGTAGTATTCCTTGAATTGAAAGCCTTGAGGTAGCAGCATTTCAGCTATTACAGAATTTCATTGTGGGTGAGATAAGATACATATGTAAAAGTGTGAGGCATCTCTACTGCTTTATCTTTTAATTCAGAAATATTTTTTGTTTTTTATAAAATTTGTCTTATTTCCACCATTCATTAGTTTTATTTTACAATAGAAAGATAATTTTGATCTCAATTTTTTTCCAATTGTGAAGTCTTTATATTTACTTGCATTATCCCTAGTTTTGTGAGAATTCTTGTGTGGTCTCATTATGTACATATCCATAAAATTAAAATCATTAAACGTCAACTAAATTATATACAATTACTGAATTATATGCTTAGAAGACACCTCTGCTTGCCAGATACAGTTCATTTGGTAAAATCAGCAAAAAATAGAGTGATCTTCTGAAAATTGTGTACTAGGTTGTCAGGAAAACCTTCCTACATGAAAAAACTAAAACAACGAAACAAAACAAAGTAAAAACTACAAAAATTTGTTGAAGTTACTGGGGCAATAAATGTGGTAAGTGTTTGGTGGCCATGAGATTGCAGGAAGGAAAGAAAGCTCAGGCAGTGGAGCCCTGCATTTGATGCTGTCTCTTCTTTTAAGGTATCTGTCAATTATACATTATTTCTAGAGATGAAGAGCAACTTTATAATTATGATGAAGTAATGTGATGACATGTCATAATAGAAATTGTAAATCACCATAAAATATAAAATTGTAAGTATGCCCTAATAATTGCCCTAAAATACATAAGTTAAAATTAACTGAACTAAATAATAGAAAAATCCAAAAGCATATTTGGAAATATTTAAACAGCTTTCTTAGTAACTGATAAACTGACGAGAAAAAAATCAATAAGCCTGTAAAATATATGAACAAACTGATTGATAAATATGGCCCCATCCCAACAAATTCAGAATATACATTCTTTGGAAATACACATGATGGAAGATTAACTAAAATTTACCACGTGTTGGGCCACAGAGTAAGTCATAAAATATATCAAAAGCTTAAAATAAATGATATATTATCTAATATCATGGTATTCACTTAAAAATCAATACTAAAGCAAATAACTATGGAATTTCAATTAAATTGGAAAGCAGACACCCAAATAACCAAAATTGAGATGAAAATAATAATTATAAAATTAGAAAATATTTTAATTGAATGCTAAAATTGCTAGCTATGATTAGAAGAGAGCTGTATGCTCACTGCATATTCCAGAAAATAAGGTGAGAACTCAAAGATCTAAGCATTCCTCTCATTTAAATTAACTGAAGAAATGGCAAGATAGAAAATAATCATGATAGTAAAGGTTACTTATATATTCTATGATACGTTTCTAAAAATAATAAACTCCTGATGAGACAGATCAAGGTATAAGAGAGAAGTCTCAATAATCTATAATAGGAATGATAAAGTGGATATTATTAGAGATGTTACGAATATGAAAATGATTATAAAAGCATATTACAAGTATCTTTATATAAATATTTCTGAAAATATAGATGAAATAGAAACGTGTCCTAGGAAATACCCAGACACGATAAAATTTTGAAATCCGAATTATTTTATATAATAAAATTTAACCCTTCCCACAAAAACAACTGTAGGTAGAAATGACTTCCCTAGTACATGTAATCAAATAGTTAAGAAAAAGGCAACTCATCTATCCCTTGAAAACATTCCTAGACTTGCTTTGAGAACTATAATCATCTTGCTAACAAAACGTGACAAACATTTGCAATGACAGTTAATTATTGGCCAATAACTTTCATAAACATCAGCATAAAATTCTAAATTAGATATTATTAAGTCAAATTCAAATATTTAATTGTAAAAAAAATTATGAACAGATTAAGCTCATTCCAGAATTGTATTATTTATCTAATATTCATGAATCAATCAAGGTAATTTATCAGGTTAATAAAACAGAGAAAAACATATGTGGAGATATAAAAAGATGTAGAAAAATTATTCAGTAAAATTTTATCTTTAATTATTATATAAACTTATTAAGTGGCTACAAAGGAAATAGTTTTTTAAAAATTAGATAAAGAATACTAATAACAACACCAACAAAATCTACAAACACTTCGAGAGTCTTTCTCTGAATCAATGATGAGAAAAACATGACCTCTGTCACCATGCCAATTCAATACTACATTCAAGGTCCTTGCCAGTCCTATATGATAAAAAAGAGAAAATTATAAAATTGGAAATAAAGAAACAAGACTATGATTAATTACAGGCAACATATTGAGTGGTTAGAAAATTCAGAAGAATATAGCAATAAATTATTTTTAATTATAAGTAAAGCTGGCTAAGTAATTGAACAAAAAATCACTTGAATTATTCTAAATCACCAAAATTTTATAAATTAAAAAGAAAAGCTTTTTATTGTCTTACAGTTACATATATGTCAATATAAGTGCAAGACTTCTATAAGAAAAACTATACAATATTACTACCAAAAATTAAAGTGAAACCAAATATATAGATCAGTATGTCAAAAATTATTAGAAAATTTGATATTTTAATGACAATTTTTTCACAAACTTGTTTATGTACTCAACGTAATTTCAACCAATATTGCAATAAATTTGTGTGGACGTGTGGATGTAAATAAAAATCTAGTTTTCAGAACCACAATAGGATGATTATGGTTAAAAATAATTTATTGTATGTTCCAAAGTGACTAGATGAGTAGATTTGAAATATTTTCATCACAAAGAAATGGCAATCCTTTGCAGTGATGGATATCCCAATTACCCAGATTTGATCATTACATATTGTATACTTGTATCAAAATATCATGTGTACTCCATAAAATATGTACATAAAGATTAAAAATAAAAAATACTATAAAAATAAAAAAGTGATGCTGTGCTTATACATGAGAAAAACCAAAATAAGAAAGACAAAATCTTAGTATCGACTAAGCTGTGTAACAATTGGTACTTTCATTTGGGGGTAGCTGGCAAATCGATACAAATATTTTGTGGCAATCTGGCAGTATTCACATAAAGATACCCTATGACTCACTGATTTTACTTCTGGATGCTTGTGTGCATGTGTGTGTCTAGCCTGAGTAGATAAGTATGTGCAAGTTAAAATGGGGATGTTGGTAGCAGCATTATTCAGAATAGCCAATAAAGAGAGACAGGTAAATATATGTTCATCAATAATTGTTTGAATGACAATAAAAAGAACAACTTGAATGCATAAAAACAGAATATTATGCAACAATAAAAATATATCCCATCTCTATGAAACACTATGAAGAGACTCAGAATTATGATGCTTACCAAAGACAGCCCAGGCCAAAATCAAACACAAAAAAGTACGATTCCATCTTTAAAGTTCAGTGACAGGCAGATTGAGTTACGTTGTTAGAAATAAGAGTAATGTTGACCTTTGGAATGAAAAGGAGGGTAGAGATTGAAAGGATAAAAAAAGTAGATCTTTAGGACAGCAGTAATATTGCATATCTGGCATGTGAGCATTTGTACTTTGTAACGATTTGTCATGCTAAAAACCTATGATTCACTCCATTACATCCCTATGTTATACTTCCACAAAAACTTTAGAAAATACAACATTTTGAATTTAGGATAAGAGTTAAAGTAGTATCAATGAAAAAACTTGTTTAAAATGAAATCTTAGAGAATAAATGCAAGTTATCCAGTGAGGAAAAGGAGATAGTGACACATTTCAGGGGAGAGGAGGATGGAAGGATTCATGGAGTGATGATTAGTGGTTGAAATTTAAGACATAAGCCCAATAGACAGGAAAGGCAGGTATGCCTGTCTGTATACGTGTAATGAGAAGGAAACAACATGTCATCTATATAGGGAATAACTGAGATTTACAAAGCAAGGTAAGTTTAAATTCAGGTTTTGTTTTCAGTAAAAGTGGCAGTGTCTTCTAAGGAAATATTACAAATTTATTACTGAAATCATATTTCTATACACTGCACTTCTTTACTTTAAACTACATTAATGTGTGATAAATGTTTTCACATATTTTGTTACATTAAATTTTATATATTGTTTAGAAATGTGAGCAAGTCAAAGCAATAAGATTTTTACAAAACCTTGAATATTTTATTCAAAAATCTAAAAAGCTACTTTCTTTTAGGTTTATATGTTAAAATACAAAGAAGTGAATTTAGAAAAAAAGTACCCCATCATTCATCCTTCTGCTGTTTTTTATATTAATCAATCTAATAGTTTTATATTGATCCTAATAATTACTAGGCATATGTCTCAGACATTGCATGTACAATAGTGCAGTGTATATATGTATATATACTTACATGTAAATATATAGAGGCCATTTTTTGTTGCTATAAAGAAATAACTGAGACCTGGTAATTTAGAAAGAAAAGAGGTTTAATTGGCTCACAGTTCTGCAGGCTGAACAGGCATGACACCAGCATCTGCTCATCCACTCAGCTTCTGGGGAATCCTCAGGGTGAAGCAGGAGCAGCCATGTCACATAGCAGGAGGGGGAGCGGGAGCAGAAAACAGGGTTTGCGGGGGTGGGGAGTGGGAAAAGCCAGGATTTTAAACAACTTGATCTTTCGAGAACTCACTCACTATCTTGAAGACTGCACTAAAACCACTGAGACATCAGCTTCCATGACCCATACACGTCCCACCAGGCCCCACATCCAACATTAGAGATCACGTTGCAACATGAGATTTAAAGGGGACAAATATCCAAATTATATCATATGTGTATATATATTTACAAACTATAGTAATTTATCTTTAGGAAAATAGCAACTAAATTGGGACTAAATAGCAACTAAAAGTGACTAAATTTTGATGAGTGTTGAGGTATTAAAGTAAGAGTAACTTAGCATATAGCATTTAAAGTAATACATGAGAGAGGAGGAGGAATTAGGCAAGTAAAGAATATAAAGACTACATTCTGGAGAAAGAAAAAATGCATTTGCAAATTATATAGAACTGGAAACAGCTTAGAAGAAGAAATAAATTAAAGTCCAAGTAGCTGTGTTGTATGTGAGACTAGAGAGACAAAAGCCTGGGGAAGTGGGCAATCAACAGATAGTCAAGGGTTTGTATTCCTAGATGAAAGTGATAAATATCATCTCAAAGGCATAAAACTTGAAATATTCTATATGCAAAATAATGGCAAAGTATTTGCCTCAGTTTACATATATTGCTTAGAATATTTTTTTTCAAAATTATTTTATTGAATTATTTTTAAGCTGGAAAAATAATCACTCCATTATTCATCCTTCTGCTACTTTTTTGTGTTAATCAATCTAATAGTTTTATGTTGATCCTAATACTAGACATATGTCTCAGGCCCTGCATGTACAATAATGCAGTGTATAAATGCATACACTGGAAGAGTTCATGGAACAAATTCCACAATAATTACTGTAGAGAATAAAACTTGGTTTTCAAATATCAGAGAGTTCAGAAAACATTCTGAAGACACACAGCTTTTTACCTGCAGGAGTGCAAAAAGAATTCATTATTCCTGCTGCAGTATTAAACTTAATTATATTAAAACATTTTTCTTCCACCTACACACACTAGCGTCTGTCAGGCTAATAACTAAAAACAGTTTAATAAGCTGAAAGTTTTATACAAAAATAGATTTTGTATTTCTTTTAATTGCACATTTTTACATTTCTTCAATTGCTGATAAAGTTGTGACTTGATATATCAAGTGACAGTTTAAACATCCCCTACATTTGCTTAAAAATTTGATCCTGAAATGAAAGTACATCATTTCCTTAGTAGATAATTAAATTCTGCACACAAATGTGACTGATCATTAAGTACTAAAGATTTTTTAAGTCAAAGAATGAGTCATTTATGCTTCTATAATATTTAAATCTAAATCAAAATAGTCTGAATTCTGTATATGGTGGACACTTGGCTTTACTTCCATTACTAAATTGTACTGTGAAGATGTGAATTAATGAAATAAGTAGCCTTTTACTTACTAGTTGTATGAGTTGCAACTCATCAGGTAGCAAACTCCATAATAGCAATTTAAATATCCTTAGTGAAAACAACAAACAGCATATTACTTTATTGGAACAAATTAATAAGCTTTATTTCAGGTATAGCTGAATTAAATGGCTTGAGGATGAATTCATGTTTACTATCTCTACCTCTCTAAATTCCAAGCTCACTCAGCATTGGTGTCATTCTCGGGGTTGAGGGGATCTCTCGACTTACAGAAGAATAGTTGTCAAAATCTGCAGTCTAGGCTCCTTTTCCTGGCGAAACCAACCAGAACACTTTTTCTTTCTCAATATAATATAAATGAAATCCAAGACCTGAGTTTTATAATCGTAATCTGAGTCAAATACCTATCTCTAAAAAAAAATCACTGTAGCCAGGGTTAAGGAATTCACTGAGTACTGGACACAGACCGACAAGTATTGAAATCCCTTTGACTTAGGCATATGGGTGAAGTCTAACTGCCAGTCCTCTCCGGGATAGTGACCTATTCTTTGTTCCCCCAAAGCGGACTTACGATGGACCAAGGGATTATTCCTTTGGCACACCTCACAGGCTTTGACTCCCTGTCGGATGGTCCGGAGGAGATTTGGCCCTGTAAATAAGGATTTGGCCATTTGATGAGTGTTTTCAATATCCATATGAAAAGTTTGGTGGAGAGTTTTAAGCATTTTCCACTGGCTGGCTTCGGGTATAAGTACCTTTCCTTCTTCTGTCATTAACCACCCTGAGGGAAGAAAACTAGGACCCCATGAAAGTCCCCATTCTCTTTTAGTCAGGGAATACTGGGGCTTAACCTCTTGGTTGGGGTTGCTCCATACCAAGGGTCCTTCCATAGTTATTTCTAATGGGAGGTTCCACCTGGCAGCAATTTTGGCCTCAGCATCTGCCCAACGGTTTCCTTCTGCCTTTTCCCTTTCACCTTTCTGATGGCTTTGGCAGTGTAAGACTGCCACCTCCTCGAGTTTTTGCACTGTGTGCAATAATTCCATAATTTCCTTGTGGTATTTAATGGAGTTTCCCCCAAAAGTTAGGAACTCCCCTTCTTTCCATATTGCAGCATGGGCATATAGGATTAGATAAGCATACTTGCTATCTGTATACACATTTATACTTTTTCCCTTTCCCAGTTCTAAGGCTCGGGTAAGTGCCACTAGTTCTGCTAACTGGGCACTGGTCCCTGGGGGAAGAGGCTTACTTTCAAGTATGGTTACATCACTAACTACAGCATAACCTGCCCTTCATATCCCATTCTCCACAAATGAACTTCCATTGGTATATAGGTTAAGGTCAGGATTAGCTAAGGAGACTTCTAAGAGATCATCTCAGGCGGCATAAGTCTGGACTATAATTTGTTGGCAGTCATGCTCAATTGGTTCCCCATCTTCTGGGAGAAAAGTGGCAGGGTTGAGGGCCACACACTTATGTATTTGAAGCAATGGTCCCTCAAGGAGTAGCACCTGGTATCTAAGTAGGTGGTTGTCTGATAGCCATAAACTTCCTTTGGCATCTAGTATGCCATTTACATCATGAGTAGTCCAGACAGTGAGATCCTTTCCTTATATTGTTTTGATAGCCTCTGACACCAAGACAGCCACCGCTGCAGCTACCCTTAAACAGTGAGGCCAGCCTTTTGCTACTACATCAATTTCCTTACTTAGGTATGCCACTGGTTGTGAGGTTGTCCCACAAGTCTGAGTAAGGACTCCAAGAGCTATCCCTGCTCTCTCTGTGACATATAAAGAGAAGTTTTGTCCTGTGGGAAGGCTTAAAGCTGGAGCTTGTACTAGGGCCTGCTTTAAGATTTTGAAGGCTGTTTCTGCCCCTGGTTCCCATTGTACTAGATGAGTATTTGCCCTCTGGGTCTCCTTGATTAGAGTATAGAAGGGCCTGGCTATCTCGCTGTATCCGGGTATCCATAGTCGGCAAAAGCCGGTGATTCCAAGGAACCCCCACAACTGTTTTAATGTCTTAGGGCAAGGATAAGCCAGTATAGGCTGTGTTTGCTCCTTGCTGAGGGCCCTGATCCCTCTGGCTAAGATTAGTCCTAGATATTTGACCTGCTGTAGGCAAAGCTGGGCCTTCAACCTAGACAACTTTTACCCTTGATTAGCTAGAAAGTTCAAGAGATCTAGAGTAGCCTGCTGGCATGAGGCTTCCAACTGGTAGCCAAAACTAAATCTTCCACATTTTGAAGGACCAAAGTGCCTGGACTTGAGAAGTGGCCTAGATCTTGAGCCAGTGCCTGACTAAACAAATGGGGGCTATCCCTAAAGCCTTGGGGCAAGACTGTCCATGTAAGTTGGAACATGTGGTCTGTGGGATCCCCAAAGGCAAAGAGAAACTGGGAGGAGTCAGAGTGCAGGGGAATACAGAAGAAGGCATTCTTGAGGTCCAGAACAGTGAACCATTCTGCTTCCTCTGGTATTTGAGAGAGCAGGGTATAGGGGTTGGGTGCAACTGGATATAGAGGAATTACTTCCTCATTGATGAGTCTAAGATCTTGCACTTGTCTCCACTGAACGTTAGGTTTTTGTACTCCTAGAATTGGGGTGTGCATTTCCTTACTAAGCCTTGAGCTTTTAAATGTTTAACAATATCCTCTAATCCTTTATGAGCTTCAGGCCTTAAGGAATATTGCCTTTGATAAGGAAAAGTGGTGGGGTCTTTTAGCCTGATTTGGACTGGGAGGGCATTTTTTGCCCTTCCAAATTGTCCTTCCAATGCCCACACTTCAGGGTTGATTCCCTCCTCAAGTAGGGGACAACAAACCGGTAACTTGTTTCCCATATTCATGTAGATAATAGCTCCAGCTTTGGCTAATATATCCCTCCCTAATAAGGGTGTGGACTTTCAGCCATAACAAGAAAGGCATGTGAAAAGAGTAAAGTCTCCCAATTACAACTGAGGAGGTGGGAGAAATACCTGGTTACAGGCTGTCCCAGGATTCCTCGGATGGTAACGGACCTTGAGGACAGTCATCCAGGAAAGGAGATTAACACTGAGAGAGCTGCGCCAGTGTCCAGGAGGAAGTCAATTTCCTGGCCTTCAATGGTTAAACGTACCCAGGGCTCAGTGAGTGTGATGACATGAACTGGCGCTTGCCCTGGGCACCCTCAGTCCTGTTGTTGGATCATCTGGTTGGGGGCTTCTGGCCCAGAGAACCTTTGCCTTCTGGGGCAGTGTGCCTTCCAGTGATTGCCTCGGCACAGTGGACATGGACGAGGGGGCGGCTTGTTTCTCATTGGACAATCTTTCTTTAAGTGTCCTTGTAAACCACATGGATAACAAGCCCTACTGGGTGATTGGCCTGCTCCATTTTCTGTACTCTCTGAACCACCAAGGTTTGTTTGTCTGAGGGCCATGACTAAGGCTGTGGCCTTTCTCTGATCTTGCTTTTCCTTTTGGGCCTATTCCTCTTGGTCCCTATTATAGAACACCGAGGTTGCTAGGTTTAATAGTGCCTCCAAATTTTGTTCAGGGACCAGGGCTCACTTTTGGAGCTTTCTCCTGATATCTGTGGCTTACTGAGTAATAAACTTATCTTTTAGAATCAATTGACCCTCTCGTGATTCGAGTGACAGGGGAGTATATTTTCTTAAGGCCTCCCGTAGCCGCTCAAGGAAGGCAGAAGGATTTTCTTTCTTTCCCTGAGTTATGATAGACATCATTGAATAATTCATGGGCTTTTCCCTAATTCTCCTTAGTCCTTCTAGATATTTGCAACAGATATTTGCAACTCCAGTCCCCATGATCTGAGTCAAGTTCTCAGTGGGGATCCATACTGGGGACGGGTTGCTGACTGGTAAGGAATTTGTCCCTTTCTTCGGCTGTCATTCTGTCATTTACTTGACTAAGATACCAGGTATCTCCAAGCTCTCAGGCTGCAGCTAAAGCTTCATTCTTTTCATTAAAGGCCAGGGTTTGATCTAACAATAGCATGACATCTCTCCAAGTGAGATTGAAGGTTTGCCCTCAACCCTGTAGGACATCTATGTACCTATCAGGATCATCTGAAAACTTCCCCAGGTCTGCCTTGATCTGCTTTAAATCAGAGGGAGAAGGGGACATGTACCCAGGTTGAGCCAAATTCCCCTCCCCCTACAGCTTGAAGGGGACATAACTGATAGCCAGGGGTGTTTTGTGGTCCTTTGGGGATTTATTTGCTTGTTTCCTTCTGGGCAGGGGAGATTAGAGGAGGCTTATCATTAATAGGTAGGGGAGCTATAGGGAGTTTAGGATATGGAGGTAAGCTGAGAGGTCTTCTTGTGGGATGTAAATTGCAAGCTTTGCATAGTTGTGGATTCACCTTCAATAAAAAGAAAGCTTGGACATAAGGTACTTCACTCCATTTGCCTTCCCTCTTACAGAAAAGGTCAAGCTGCAGGATAGTATTGTAATTTATACTTCCCTCAGGCGGCCATTTTTCCCCATCAGAGAGAGAATATTGGGGCCAATCTGTAGTGCAGAAAAAAATGAGTCACCTCTTTTTCAGGGTTTGTGGGTCAAATTTGTCCCAATGCCTTGGGACATATTTCAAGGGTGAGCCTGTTGATGCCTGAGTGTTTCCCATCTGAAAGACAAAACTGCCCATGGTTTTGGTTTGTTTTGTTTCTCCCCCTGCCCAAGAACCCACAACAGCCCCTGGACCCTGCTGACTGGAATAGTTGTGCTCACCGATGCAGTAGCAGAAACACCTCTTACCCAAGAACCCACAACAGTCCCTGGACCCTGCTGATCGGAATATTTGCACTCACTGACGCAGCAGCAGAAACGCTAGTTTTCCTCCTAGACCACAAGGAGGATCGAGGAAGGTCAGATTTAGTGGCCCTTACTGACACATCCTCAAAAACCTGCACCCTTGCCTGTCCTCCTAGACCACAAAGAGGACCGAGAAAAGTCGGATTTAGTGGCCCTTACCGACGCATTCTCAAAAACCTGTTAGAGTCCTAAGCATTCTCCCGTTAGTACTGGAACTTTACTAGTGTCCTATAAAGATGTTACGCCCCAAAAATGAAGTGGAGGGCCATACCCTGAGAGAGGGAAGGGAGTTCCAGGGTTGGAAGAGTAATGCCTTTTGTCCTCACTTGAATAGGAAGAATATCATTTCTGAGGCTCCCCACATCCTAGCTTCAGCAATAGCTTTTGTTAGGCCTGCTAGTCGGAGGAGGGATCCTAAAATTCCAGATAGTCCCCCACCCCAACAGGGCTTTGGGCAAAAATTATGTCTTTCTGATTGGTGAGCCCAGGTGCCAAAATAAGGTAACAGAGTCCTGAATTTTATACTAGAAATCATTCTTATAGGAGAAACTAGAAAAGCACCAGAGACAGGGAGTGGTTTTTAGAAGTAGGACTAGCTTCAGAGAAGAGAGGTGAGAGGAAGTTTGTCTGGCAGGCATTAGGACCCAGGAGGCAAGGGTCAAGATAGATAGGATAGACAGGCAAGTCTCGCTTGGGCGACATGACTTTGAGAGTTCCACTCATGGCCGCAGGGTCAACCAACTTGTTGTTGGGACCCCTGAGCTGAATGGCTTTCCTCTCTGTCAACCCATGGCTCAGCCCAGAAGTACAGGAAAAGCAGAAGCTGGTTCCCAGCAAACCAACCCTGCCAACTCCAAAGAGTAGGGGATTATTAGAGACCCCTTTCCCAGAAAGCCTGACACCTGTGTCTTTAGTCCAGCAGTTGCACTAGTTGCTTTTAACTGGCTGACAGGTGCCTGATATTTAACCCCCGAATTCTAAGGAAACATAGGACAGAATAGCAAGTGAAAGGGGTCTGATGGTGCTCACACTTGGCGATAGTCGATAGTCCCATCTGGGTTGCCAAAATGTGTCTGGAATTTATTCCTTCTGGTGAGTTCTTGGTCTTGCTGACTTCAAGAATGAAGCTGCGGATGCTCACGGTGAGTGTTACAGTTCTTGAAGATGATATGTCCAGAGTTTGTTCCTTCAGATGTTCAGATGTGTCTGGAGTTTCTTTCTTCCAGTGGATTCGTGGTCTCGCTGACTTCAGGAATGAAGCCACTGATGCTTGCAGTGAGTGTTACAGCTCAAAAAGGTAGTGCAGACCCTAAGAGTGAGCAGCAGCAAGATTTATTGTGAAGAGCAAAAGAACAAAGCTTCCACAGCGTGGAAGGGGACCCAAACGGGTTGCTGCTGCAGGCTTGGGTGGCCAGTGTTCCCTTATTTGGCCCCACCCACGTCCTGCTGAATGGTCCATTTTACAGAGCGCTGATTGGTCCATTTTACAGAGTGCTGATTGGTCCATTTTACAGAGTGCTGAGTGCTGATTGGTGCATTTACAAACCTTTAGCAAGACACAGAGCACTGATTGGTGCATTTACAATCCTCTAGCTAGTCAGAAAAGTTCTCCAAGTCCCCACTTGACCCAGGAAGTCCAGCTGACTTCACCTCTCATTAATATTATTTTTAAACATTTAGTCTATAGTTATTAATAAAATAGTCAACAGTCCTCTGAATTTTTTCCATAATTGAATTATTCACAACAGTGTTAGAAGAAATAGTATGTGGTAGAGGGAAATCAGAGGTCAAAATCTGTAGTCTAGGTTCCTTTCCTTGGTAAAACCAATAGAAAGGAGATAACTTCTATCTCAAAAGATTATAAAAGAAATCCAAGACCTGAGTTTTATAATGCTAATCTGGGCCAAATGCCTATCTCTAAACAAATGGCTATGGCCAGGGTTAAGAAATTCATTGAGTACTGAAATGTCAGTGGAGAAGAAGGGTTTCCAATAATTTGGAGTTTCCTCTCTGAAAAAAGAATACTCAGTGCTGGAAAGTAAAAATATAAATGTCAGTTACACTAAACTAGTTACACTAATGATTTTGAGTCACCAGCTAATTTAACATTGTACTAAAATTACTCTATCAAAAATACTTATTACTAACTTTGTAACCAAGTAGCTCAGCTTCAAAATACATTTTAAAACGTTTTTTTTTCCTTTCTCTAGTTTTAGCTTTGAAAGTTACTTTGAAACTTTTTGTTTTACTCTTTTCCCCATCAGGCACCCCTTGAACTCTGCTAGTTTATCTAATTTTGTGCTTGTTTAGAAATGTCAGAGGTTAATCTTGAAATGAACAAGGCAAGAAGACCCAGCTGCAGCATTCCCACCCACAGAAAAACACACCAATAGATTGTCTCAAAGAGATTAATCTACAACCCAGCCATTGTTGAAATGGTGCCAACCCACACTCCAGGCAGACAACTCAGGATAGCCACTGAGACAAGACATATAGGCCCCCTACCTTGTACCGCCCCCTCATGCTCTCGTGCCAAGTTTCCCTTCTTAAATCCCTTCACCCAGCCTAAAATTTGAGATGGCTTATGGGAGGCATCAGCCCCACGATTTCTTCGCTTGCTGGCATTTGTTCAATAAAGCTGCTTTCCTTTCACTGTACCTTTCACACACTTCTTGTATGGCTTCCAAGTAGCAAGCAGCCAAACTTGGATCAGTTACAAGTTTGCTGCCCCACGTGAGGAGCTGTGTGTTTCAAATGTTTTAGCCTGTCCTCCTGGTTTCTAACCAGCAGAGGAATTGGCCATAGCAGCATGTCAGGGCTTACCTGCTCAAGATACCAGGTGGAGTGATGGCAACTTGCAAATGCCAGGTGCTTGTGGTTCTCTGACACTGTGACTGGAGCTCCAGGGAATTCCCACCAGCTGCCAAGATCACCTTTTTCTTGAGGATTTTCTTTTCTCTGCCTCCAGTCCTGTGGCATCAGCTGCTATAATGCTTTATTGGTGTAAGGAAAGTGGCATCTGGGAAGCTGATGGACTTCAAGAACTGGGTAGGTCAACCAGAGTGCACCCAGTAATCCTGTGTCTCTGCCATGTGGGCTCTCTAGTCCTCTGGGCCTAGAATAGCTTGTCTGTGGCACTATCTGGACCTAATGCAGGTCATTCTGTGGTGCCATTTGGGTTTAAGTCAAGATCTCAGGACTTTTCTCCTGTCTCTTCAGGATTCGTTTGGAATACTCCATCTGCATTGGATTTGTCTCTGTCTGTGTCTGAGTTTATTGTTATCCTCTTTCCAGTGGTGTGCAGCAGAGTTTCCATTATGTCTGTGAAACAGTTCTACTGGCTAAAGATCAGATCCAACTGGTTGTTGAAGGCACTGAGATAGAGCACTCCTCTCCCAAGAAAAAGGCAGTTTTCATCATCTGAGGCACTCATTTTGTAATGCTTTTTGGGACTCTGAAATATTGTAGATATTTGTGTCAAGACGTATAGGGAGATTAAGTTTGTGAACATTTCTGTAGACCATCTAGACAGGCATGCTTCCCTGTTCACTGCCCTCTGTGCTTCCTATGTGAAAATAGAATCAATAGAACCTGAGTCTAGTTCTTAGCTAATCCTTACGCTAACCCATTTGCTCTTTTTGTTTGTCTAGTTCATCACCTTATTTGTTGTCACTCTATTTCTATTTGCTGTAGTTGGCAGGTCAGTAGGACATGGACTTAGTGTAAAGTTAAAGAGATAAAGAAAACTATATGGACTGTTATCCACCAAGGACTAAAGGAACTCTTTCCTTGATGTCCCTGCCTGCCATTGCTGTGTGGAGAGATGTGTGCAAGTGTGCCCACTTGGAATGCAAGCAATATTATATGCACAAAGAGTTCTAGAGCAGGGGAGTTCATCCAGCCCCTGGGACTTTGATTACAGGGTTGCCCTATACAGATTTAAAATGGGCTGCAAAGTTTCTATTATATCTCAGAGCTCTCTGGAGCACATTCTGGATAGCCAGAAGGCTTATCAGCTAGTGATAAAAAAACAAACAAAAATAAAAAAACCTTACAGTAACACTTTTTGGCCTGTGTATAAATTGAAGGATGATGAATATTGGCCTTTAAACAGGAGCACCCAGGATTATGTCCTATGACAACTGGAATTGTTTTGTCGCAGCTTCAGGAAATGTGACGAAATGCTCTACACTTAGGCTTTCATGCTACTGCATAAAAAGGGCTAATGTCGGGAGATGGAATAGACTGCAGGCTGTACAGAAAAATGAGAATAAAAGCTCTTCCCAAACCTGATAGTAAAAACCAGGAGGAAAAAAAACAACAAGATGGACCTCCTAAATATTTTGAACCTGCCTCTTCCAGCCTCCGCTCCAGCCATGCCTCTGCATGGCTCCAAGGCAGTCCTGGCAGCTGCTGCCCTGGCTATTGCCCAACCATTGCCCCAGCCGTGGATCTGGCTGTTGCTCTAGGGCTACCCTAGCAATGGCCCCAGGAGTTGCAGCTGTCACTCTAGCTGCTGCTCTGGTCACTCCATCCTCTGTTCCAGCAGTCCTTTTAATGGCCGCACTGGCCACTGTGCTGGACCAAGCTGGTCCAACATTTCCATATGAGGCCCTAGACCTGGAAGTGGGGGCAACAGCCACATCCCAACACAGTAAGGGAATTGGAATGATCTCCTCTGACAAGACCCAGTAAGACACCCAATTTGACCAGGGTAGCACTAGGACCAGAGTAGGGCAATATCAGCTCAGGCAGTACCCTATAAGTGGATTAAACCATGAAGGATGGTTTGGCTGGTATTATTGGGCTTACAGCCCATTTTCATCATCCAATCTATTGAATTAGAAAAGCTCCAACTGACCTTATAGAGAGGACCCACAGAAAAAGACTGAACTTTTTGCCGCTATCTTTATGACCTGCCAGGCCACCTGGGCAGATGTCCAGTCTCTTCTGTACATGCTCCTGAACACAGATAAAAGGAGGTGGTAATAGACAAGGCAAATAAAGAAGCTTGGTATCTCCAGGAAAACCTAAATTGGACCCCTAACCCTACCAGGGCAGTTCTGGTTACAAACCCTAACTGGGACCCCAATGATGGGTTGTGACCTGACTGAAGCATTATAGAATATGCATCCTGCAGGGTCTCAGAAGTGGGGTGCCCAAACAAAAAGCTTAAATAAAATTCAGACAGTTATCCAAAAGGCACCTCTCTGAATTTTTGGAATGCATTTAAGAGGCCTACTCTAAATATACAGTTATAGACCCAGAGGTTCCCCAGATTGAGAATGCTATGATTTTCATTCAGCAGAATGACTCTGATGTAAAATGAAAATTTGAAAAGCAAGAAGGGTCACTGGAGATAAAACTCTCCTAGCTAATATTTCCTTCAGGATATGCTATGCTTGAGAAATGAAGACATTAAAATTATTAAAGACATACGTACAAATGGCGGGGAAAACTCTTGCCAAAGGAAGGATGGGAATTGGGGTAAAGCCTTAGGCCATAATCATTGCACTTACTATAGAGAAGAAGGCCACTGAATATCAGATTGCCCCCCAAAGAAAAAGACTCAAGGACCAGAAAAAGAAAGAACGTGTAGGGAGAAGGCCCACTTGCAGACAGTGGGACAGGATTATGACTCTGATAAAGAATGATGATGCACAGAAGCTCCCCTGAACATTTTGGAGCCAATTAAAACTTCCCCACAGTAGTCTCAAGTAAAATTTGCAGTGCGGAACAAGCTAATTGACTTTGTAGTTAATATTGAAGTGACTTATTCAGTCTTTAACACTCCAGATGAACAGGGTACTAAGATGACTATGTCTTTGACAAGGATTGTAGGTAAAATGCAGCAAAAACATATCTTACAACCCTTGGAATGTCTTCTGGGGGACTTGTAATTAGGACAGTTTCCTTTATGTACCAGAATGTCCAATTCTTTTCTTGGAATGTGACTTGCCTTGTAAAATAAATGCTCAAGTAACTTCTTCTCCAGAGAAACAGCAATTACTCTTACAGGTCCCACTGGAACAGGCACTGTGGCTGCAGATGATTCTCACTTGTCCTGAGGATAAAAAGGAAAAAAATTCTTCTCCTCAGAAAATTATGAACAAGTGAGTAATTGCATATAGCCATATGGGACTCCAGGCAAAATTAGAAATTTACAGACGGTGCGTATGGAGACCAAAGAAGGGACAAAAATACCCCATAAAAGCAATATTCACTAAATAGAGAAGCTTTAAAGGTAATTCAGCCTATATTGCAAAACTTCTAGAGAATGGGTTGATTTGCCCCTGCAGATCTCCATGTAACATCCCCATTCTACCTCTGAAAAAGCCACACACAAGTGAATATTATTTTTTGCAAGATTTTAGAGCTATCAATAAAATAGTTCAAGATATTCATCTGACTGTGCCAAATCCATATCCTTTATTGACTGCCATACCTGGTAGTTATGGATGTTTTTCAGTATTGGACTTAAAGGATGTTTTCTTTTGGATTCCAATTGAGGAAAAAGTCCACATGTTGTTTACCTTTGAAAGGCAAAACCCAGAAAGGAAGATGATTTTCCAATATTGTTGAATAGTATTGCCTCAAGGATTTAAAAACTTACCCACTGTTCTGGTGAAATATTTGCAAAAGACTTAAGAAACTTACAATTAGATGAAGGAGTACTACTGCAGTATGTATAAGATTAGGTAATAGCAATTGAGACCATCTTGGCCAACACAGTGAAACCCCGTCTCTACTAAAAAATAAAAAAAAATTAGCCGGACGTGGTGGTGGGCGCCTGTAATCCCAGCTACTGAGGAGGCTGAGGCAGGAGAATGGCGTGAACCCGGGAGGCAGAGCTTGCATTGAGCCAAGATTGCACCACTGCACTCCAGCCTGGGCCACAGAGCAAGACTCCGTCTCAAAAAAAAAAAAAAAAAAAAAAAAAAAAAAAGATTAGGTAATAGCAAGCTCAAGCTATAAAAAATGTCTGTCCAATACCGTCTTGGTTTTGAAGCATCCAGCACAGTGTGAATACAAGGTGTCCCCTGACAAAGCTCAAATTAGTAAGCCAGAAGTGACCTACCTTGGGTTTCAATTAAGGCAGGGGAAGAAAAGACTAATGTCCATTAGGAAACAAGTAATAGAAACTATAAAGGCCCCCAAGAACAGAAGGAAACTATGAGGATTTGGTGGCATGGCAGGCTTCTGATGATTTCAGATCCCCAAATTTGGACTTATGACTAAGCTCTTTTATGAGGCCTTCAAAAGACTGGACTCTGAACTCCTGCCTAGCAGAATTCCAACAGCCATTTGACACTATGAAAGAAAATTTGATGTCAGCCCCATTGCTGTGACCACCAAATCCTCAGAAGCCATTCAAGCTTCATGTCCATGAGAAAAAAAAAGATATATAGGGCAGTGAGTACTGTTTCAAATGCTAGAGGATACCCCAAAACCTATAGCCTATTTTTCTAGAAAGCTGCATCAATCCACCAAAGGATGTCCCCCTGCCTGTGGGCTGTGGCTACCACCTGTGGGATTCTATGAGAGGCAGAGGAATTTACCCTGAGACAATCCATCACTGTGTTTGTTCCTCATCAGTTGCTAACCTTCCTGGAACAGAAAGGGAGGCTATTGGCTTACTTCAGCATGAATGGACAACTACTACGCCAGGCCATCCTTCTGGATGACCCAAATATAACTTTGCAAACAACCATGGAGCTAAACCCAGCCACCTTGCTCCTGGCCACTGATCCTGACCATGAACTAGAACACAATTGTCTGGAAATTCTTGATCATTTAATTCTAGGAAGCCAGATCTGTCTGACCAAAGCTCTAGACTGGGAGCTTTACACCAACAGAAGACACTTCATGAGAAATGGATGATGCCAAGAAGGGTACGTTATGGTGACTGCAGATAGGATAATGGAGACCCATGTTCTTCCCTACTGGCACCTCGGCACAAAAAGCTGAACTAATTGCTCTTACCAGACCATTAGAACTGACATATGGAAAGCAGGTAAATATTTACACTGTTGCTAAGCACACATTTATGGTAATGCATGCTCATGGGGCCATTTGAAAGAAAGAGGCCTCCTGACCTCAGTAATATGGATATTAAACATAGATGGAGATTCTCACCCTGCTGAAAGCAGTTGCTTTATTGGCCCAGGTCGCTATTAGGCACTGCACAGGGCATTAGAAAGATGACTCACAAATAACCAAGGGGAACCAAGCAGCAGAAAGAGCTGCAAAGCAAGCTGTTGGGGAGCTGAGTACAAAAACTCAGGGCTTTCAATACCCCATTTAGACTTATCAGACTTCAAGCCTCATTATATTGCGTGGGATGAAGAGTGTGCCTGCAACCAGGGTTTTGCTGACGCAGACCCTAGCCCACATTGGAAGACTAGTATTCATGGGATAAGTTTGCTCCCTGAATGCTTGGTATATTGAATTGTAAAACACTTACATGAAGAGACACACTGTGGGAAGGAGATCTTGGTTAACCTGATGTGGCCGTACCTTAGAGGGCATCATATTAAAAAAAAAGTCCATAAAATCACACAGAGATGTTATCTGTGTGCCAAGAATTATTATAAAGGAATTACTTACTCCTCCCAAGGGAAAGAGTGAAATGCAAGAGAATGAGTCCATTTAAAGATTGGCAGGTTGACTTCACTCTAATGGCAAGGAGAAATTAAAATTTCCTGCTTACATTTGTAGACACATTTTCAGAATGTGTCTTACTTCACCAAGTTTGAAAGGACCACAGTAGTAGATAAAGCTTTATGGGAGGAAATAATTCCTTGATTCAGACTTTCTCATTCAATACAAAGTGATAATTGCCCTTTTTTAAATTCCTGAAATTACACAAAAGGTGAGTCAAGCTTTTCAGGTCAAATGGTAGTTATATTCATCATGGAGACCACAAATGATGGAAAAGATGTAGAAAATAAATCACACCTTAAAGAAGATGGTGACAAAACTCTGTCAGGTAACAGATTTAACCTGGGATAAAGTTTTGCCCATTGCCTTACTCCAGGTCAGAATAGTACTGCAAAGGGAGCTTTGGTTGAGCCCTTTAAAATTAATTTATAAGAAACTCCTCCAGAATTGCTGGGAATTCCACCTTTAGATCTAGTAAACGAATCAAGAATTAAGCAATATGTACAACAGTTGGGGCACACATTACTAATGATGCATCTACTCTTTCCAGGGCCTCATATCCCATGGATGAACCTCTTCACCTTTTCTGCCCAGGGAATATGGTGCTACTACAGTCCTGCAAAAACCAACGGCCAGACCAGCAGCTAGCCAAAGAGTGGACAGGACTTCATAAGGTGCTGCTGACCACTCATTTCTCTGAGAAACAGGCTGGAATCAAGCCATGGTTACCACATATTCAGATAAAGACAGCTCCTCCTCAACCCAATACCTCATACAACCAGCCCACTTCGTCAGGTGAGCCAAGAGAAGATCTAAAGTTCCTAACAAAGAAAAATCAGATAGATAAGTAGTACCCTTCTGTTACCATGAAGTTCTTAATTAATTTTATAGTCATAAGTACATTCTTTATCTTTCTTAAAGCTAACATTTTCACTGAATGGGCCAGATGGCGGCTTCCCTCCAGAATTAAGAAATACTGTTGGGTCTAAGGGAAACTACCATTTTTTTTTCCACCATAGGCTGTTTATGGTGCATACAAGCCATTAATGGGAGAACTTGGAGTTATTTTTATACTTAGGATGAGAGTTCTCATTTATTTCCCTTCTATAATTACAGTACCACTCACCATGAGTTCCCCACCTTTGAGGAAACAAAGAAACATCTTTTTCATCTGGTCTGTAAACGAGTTAATGTCACTCCCACCATAAGTTATGCCACACATGATGGCATAGGATGTCTAACAGCAGTGCAAATACAGGTAATGGATCAAGCACCACTGTGCATCAAGAGACACAATAGCAGCACACTCCAAACTATCACCCATAATATGGAATGACTTCCTCATCAACAATTTAACCAAACCTTTCAACTGATTGACAATGTGTGGCTAAAGTGGCAGAGTAGCTCTCATCTACCTGGTGGGGCCTATCATTCCCCCCTGGGATTGGTTATGGGTCTGCAGCATGCATGATTGGCCTTACCCTAAAACTGAACTTCCAGATGCACCTGGGGTTGACCCTACCTACCAAGATGCATTCTTCCTCATTTAGACACTCTCCCTAGCATCTGGCAAGTATAAAGGCCAGGCACCACAGAAATGGGCATCCTGGTGGATTTATCCACTAGCCGTATTTTCTCCCTGGGGCGACCATGGATGTAGAATTACAGGTGGAGGCCCTGGCTAAGCAGATGGCTGCTTTCTTTAATAACACCTGCCAAAACATCACCCCTTTTACTGAAAACAAAAACAAAACCTTACAGATTATGCAAATTGCCTTACAAAACTATGACCTTAGATATACTGTCTGCAGCCCAAAGCAGCTCTTGTACATTAATTGAGACATAGCATTCCCTCTAAGAACTGGAACAAGACAAGGATGCCCACTTTCACTACTCCTATTTAACACAGTACTGAAAGTCCTAGCCAGAGCAATCAGGTAAGAAAAAATAAATAAATAAAAGACATCCAAATTGGAAAAGAGAAGGTCAAATTGTCTCTATCTGCAGACAACATGATCTTATATATAGAAAAACCTAGATTCCACCAAGAAACCCTTAGAATTGATAAATGAATTCAGTAAAGTTGTGAGATACACAATCAACATAGAAAAATCAGTAGTATTTTTATAAACCAATAACGAATGAGCTGAAAAAGAAATAAAGAAAGCAATTTCATTTGCAATAGCTAAAGAAATACCTAGAAAGAAATTTAACCACATAGGTAAAAAATTTCTACAAGGAAAACTTTATAAAACGTTAATATTAAAATGCTAATATTATTTTATTATGGATTTCCAGTGAACTCAATTACTCCTAATAGTTTTTGTATCAGTCATTTGCTTGCATTCTGAATCATAATAAAATAATATTCAGTAGAATTTTTCTTCTATCAATATCTGAATAGATATTTTTCTGACCAACTTCCTTTTGAGAACAGTTAGTAAAAGAATAATAGAAAGAGATGGGGAGAGTGTGTTAAGGTATTAACAGTAATAAAAATCAGTGATAGGAGTCCTCTTATTTTTTTTAGAAGGTCTCATCATAAAGCTTCATGATAGTAGAGGGTATGATGAACTGCTACAGATTGACTCTATTTTATTTTTAATATCTGAATGCATTTGTTTATATAACCATTTTAATAGTTTTTCTAGGAAAAAAATTTAATTATTGATTGTTTTCTTCAGGTGATAACATTTCTTAAAATAGCATAAAAATGTGACTGTTTTTACTTCCATTCTGGTATTTCCATCTTGATCATCACCTTTCCCTGTACATTTTTCTGAAGTTCTCAGAATGATTTAACCTTGCCTTGAAAGTTTAGGATATATTACATATCCATCTTTTGAATATCTGTAAAAGTTTACTAATAGCATTAGTTTGTGATATGGTTTTGCTCTGTGTCCTCACCCAAATTTCATCTTGAATTTTACTCCCGTAATTCCCATGTGTTGCTGGAGGGACCCAGTGGGAGACAATTTGAATCACAGGGGTGATTTTCCCCACACTGTTCTAGTGGTAGTGAGTAAGTCTCATGAGATCTTACGGTTTTTTCAGGGGTTTCCTCTTTCGCATCTTCCTCATTTTCTCTTGCTGCCACCATGTAAAAAGTGTCTGCCAACTCCCACCATTATTCTGAGGCCTTGCCAGCCATATAAGTTAATTGAACTGTAAGTCCAATTAAACCTCTTTTTCTTCCTAGTCTTGGGTATGTCTTTATCAGCAGTGTGAAAATGAACTAATACAGTAAATTGATAGCAGCAGAGTGGGTTGTTGCTGAAAAGATACCTGAAAATGTGGGAGCAACTTTGGAACTGGGTAACAGGTAGAGGTTGGAACAGTTTGCAGGGCTCAGAAGAAGACAGGAACGTGTGGGAAAGTTTGGACCTTCCTAGAGACTTGTTGAATGGCTTTGAACCAAAATGCTGATAATGATATGGAAAACGAAATCCAGGCTGATTTGGTCTCAGATGGAGAGGAGGAACTTGTTGGGACCTGGAGCAAAGGTGACTCTTATTATGTTTTAGCAAAGAGACTAGTGGCATTTTGCCCCTGCCCTAGAGATTTGTGGAACCTTCAGCTTGAGAGAGATGATGTAAGGTATCTGGTGGAAGAAATTTCTAAGCAGCAAAGCATTCACGAGGTGACTTGTGTGCAGTTAAAGGCATTCAGTTTTATAAGGGAAGCAGAGCATAAAAGTTCAGAAAATTTGCAGCCGAACAATGTGATAGAAAAAAAAAAAAACCATTCTCTGAGGAGAAATTCAAGCCAGCTGCAGAAATTTACCTAAGTAAGGAGGAGCTGAATGTTAACTCCAAGACAATGGGGAAAATGTCTCCAGGGCATGTCAGCGGTCTTCAAGGCAGCCCCTCCCTTCATAGGCCCAGATGCCTAGCAGAAAATGGTTTTGTGGACTAGGCCCAGGGTCCCCTGCTGTGTGCAGCCTAGGGACTTGGTACCCTCTGTCCCAGCCACTCTGAACCATGGCTGAAAAGGGCCAACTTGGAGCTTGGGCTGTGGCTTCAGAGGGTGGAAGCCCCAAGCCTTGGCAGCTTCCATGTGGTGTTGAGTGTGTAAGTGCTCAGAAGTCAAGAATTGGGGTGTGGGAACCTCGGTCAAGGTTTCAGTATATGTATGGATACTCCTGGATGCCCAGGCAGAAGTTTGCCCAGCGGATTGGTTGAACGAGGTGTGCCATTTACATAGCCTGTGAAAAGACTGGCTCTCCCAACCTAGTCTTTTATGATCCCTGTCATAATTTCTTATTATAAAAATCTAAAAGTGGATGATTCATTTTTAGATGATATATTGACTGAGTAAAATTTATTCATCTTTCCTTTACTTTTCTATATGATGGTCATGAACCACATGTGGACACTTAGATGGAGATTAACTTTTTATTACACAGGACAGCCCGTATATGGAACATTTTCATCATCACAGAAATTCCCATGCGAGAGCATCCAAGTTTATATTACTTCTACTGGAAATTGTATATTTAAATTTATGGCCTTAAATCCCATTACTCAAAATATTAGTAGTCTAGTCTTTCCACATATATTTAACTAAGAACTTTTTAGATTAAGTATATATTTATAAATATTAAAAAAGCAACATAAGAAATAAAAGCACTCTTGCTAATTTCTCTTCTGAAAAATTTATATTTAAAAGAATTTCTTCAAAACATATTAACTGATTTATTGTTAACTTTTTTTTTTAATTTTCAAAGAGAATATACTTATTTAGCACAGGTAGACATGAATACTGTCTAGAAATTTTATCTCGTTAGAAAGATTTCAGTAATTAGCATTTGAGAAGCAAGATGTATGCCTAAATAGAGAAAGTATCTTTACTTAAATTTGTTTGTAATAATTAATATGTTGAATAATTTACCTGAGGGTAATTTTGTAGCTATTATAAAAATATATAGAGGTTATATGGGACTGAAACCACACCTAGTTGAATGTTATTCATTACAAATTTTTATTTAAATGTCTGTTGATCACAGCATACAATGTCCTTTTTTCTCTATATTCTCCTGATAGAAGATTCATTATTCATTTACTCAGCCATTTATTAAACAAAGTGTATTAAAATCCACTGAGAAAGCATTGCAAGGGATATGAATATTAAATCACAGATATTCAGATATAGAACTATTTCTTGAAATTCCTATAATCATGTATTCAGGTTAAAGTATATAAACACACACACATACACACTTTAAATAGGAAAAGATAAGTGTGACAAGTAAAAGGCAAATGATTAAAGGATAGTGAGGCAAGACAATACAGTAAATCTGTGAGAGTATTAAGTAGTACATTTTATAAATTCAAAGGAAGATTTTTGACGGCAAATAAATTTGAGCTGGAACAGCATTAAATAGACTTCTATAACATTTGTAAGATAAAAATAGGCTCAATTTGTGTTTAATTAAATTTTGTAAATTAAAGAGATAATTGCTACTAATTCTAACATATCCATTCTTTGTATATTTCCAGAAGCATAGGAAAGAATTCCTGATTTTTCTAACACTATTCTTCACCTTGTATCTCTTATTTAGTGGTTTAAGACAGAAAGTCCAGTTACTTTACATTCTTTCTTATCACTGATTCTTAATAATACATTAATCCTTAAGTCTTATTGCATCAAAGTTCTAAATCTCTCTGAAACCTGTCTAGTCTCCTTTCTCCTCATTGCCTTTATTTTATTTCATGTCGTGGTTATTTCTTGGCTGACTTACTACCAACTTATTTTAGCTGAATTCCTGGACTTCAAAACAAGTTCATTACCTCTGGTGTTTCTACACTTGAACGCAATGGTTAACAGATTTTGTAATGTCCATTTTGCTCTACCATGGATATGAAGTTGCGATTATATTAAGAAATTGCTGAGAAACAGTAGGCTTTCCCCAGCAACAAGTGTATTTAGCTTGAACCAGTTTTCCATTTAGACAAAAAAGTACAGCTCACTGACAGCACTCATTTGATTTTACATAAACTTGCTCTTTGAGGCTGAAGCAAATATGACTGATTTTCAATGTAGAATAAAATATAAAAACTGTTCTTGGAGTTATTTCTAGACAGAACTAGTGTCAGAATCATCAGAATCAACCATTTTGGAAAATCGGATTCATCAGATGAATCCGGCCAACAACTGTTCAAGAACAATGTTAACATCACACGTAGGAATGCTACATTTCCTAGCAGTTGACATTTTCAGTGATCAAGAATTACTATATTTTTGTAAATGAAAATACTACTACTAAAAACAGGATGCTATAAATATAATGATGTCTTTTGTTTCCAGATCAATATACTAGTGCGATGCAAAAATAATTATCAAAGTAAGATGTTTTGTGGAAAGTTATCTCGGGGTAAATGCTGCAGCTGCAAATGCTGCTGGTGAGTATTCTTGGGGCAAACAGCAAATGGGTTAGAGAATAATAAAGAGAAGACAACAGCAATGCTTTCCAGAAGGTAGTCTAGGCACAGCTTCAGATAACTGAGCCACACCAATTTGAGACCTGTACTAATGAGCGACAAGACTGGTTAGACACAAACTATGTTAGCTCAGAGAAGGTATTTTGTGGATTATTTAATTTTTTATAGTGAGCTGAACACTTGGCCCCTTCAGGAATAGAACTATCTTATTCTCTGGTGCAGAGGCATATTATCAATTCTGGTTATTCTTTACATAATAAATTATCTTAACAAATGAGAGACACATGTTTGGTTCTAGAATATAGTCCTTAAGTAGACTTGTAACTATTTTAAATCTTATATGGTCAGCTCTCCATATCTCCAGCACATTGGTTCCAGGACACCTGAACATGCCAGAATCTATCAATGCACGTTTCATATATAAAATGTCCTAGTACACTTGGCCATGAAAGAGGCCACACCTATTTACAGTTCAAATGTTAAGCTGCAGATTTCTCTCCATGTAGTTTTATCTGCATCTCATTGTGATATGCATGTTTTTATTGTCATTCAATTCAAAATATATTTTAAAGATTTTATTTGCCATTTACTTTTGGACATGACTTCTTTGAATTGTATTTTTCATTTCCAAATGTCTGGGATTTTTCACCAGTGTTTGTTTTTTTTATTTTTCACTTCTACATTAATTCCATCATGGTCACAGTACACACACTGCAATTTTTTATTATTTTTAATCTCATTATGATGTCTATGGCTCAATTTATGGCCTATACTGATGAATGTTCTATGTGCAATTAAAGAGGATCTATAGTCTACATTTGTTGATGTAATGTTGTATATATGTTAAATAGAAAATGTAGGCAAATAGTGATTTTTAAATACCCACACTATTGTTAACGTCCTTTATACATGTTCTACCAATTGGTGAGGAAAGAGTTGTGAATTATACAAATGTAATTGTGGATTTTTCTATTTCTTCTTTTAATTCTGCAGGTCTGCTTTTTTGTCTGTTTTTCGTGTATGTTGAAAGTATCATTACATGCCTACACATTTAAAACAGTTAATATTTTTGATAAATTGCTTTCTTTATTATGTTACAATTTACATTACAAATTATAAAATGTTCCCTTTTATACCTGTCATGTTTGTTGTTTCGAATTTTGTTTGCATAATATTAGTATAACCTTGTTGCTTTTAAATTTTTTTGTGTTGAAAGGATTCATCTCTTTTTATTCTTTACTTTTAACTTCTATCTCTATATTTAGTTTTTACCTTAGAGGTAGTACAAAGTTGGGTCATGTTTGTTACTAACTGATAATCTCAACATAATTTTTGTGTCCCAGAGCATTTACATTTAGTGTATTTCTTAGATGGTTGGTTTCGATCATTTACCTGGCAAATTTTTATTATTTGTTCCATTTGTTGTTTTTTATTTGCTCTTTCTCTGTCTTCTTTTTGCATTCCATTTTGTCTTTACAATTCCTTGGTTTTATTACTTTAATAGTTGCTGTAAGGTTTAGCATATGCATCATTAACTTATCATAGTTTGACTTAAAGTAATATTGCATTGCCTTACAGCCGTATACTTTCTTTTCTCCCTCCAAGTCCTTTATACCACTGCCGTCATACATATTTTATAAATACAATGGTAAATTGTTATTTTTTGCTTTAAGATTAAGCCCAAATTTATAAAGGAAAGTAAATATTTTATATTCAACCACATATTTGTCATTTTAGTCCGTCTTCATTTGTATGTATCCAAGTGTCCGTATAAATTATATTTTTATCTAATAAATTTAATTATTTCTTGTATGAAAACTCTTATAAAATGGTCTTAGCTTTTGTTTATCTAAAAATATCTTTACATTTTATTTTTGAAGAAGTCTATATCTCAATGTAGACTGTAACTAGGCTTTTATTTTTTCTTTGATAAAATTCTATTGAATTCTGTCTTATGTAGTTTCTAGTGAGATATATATGCTCTTATTTTTCTCCTATATATAATTTGTATTTGTTTTTGGGGGGGTGTTTTAAAAATGTTTCCTTTTATGATTTAAGAAATGATTTCCTTGTGAAGTTTCTTCATTTTCAATTCTTGGTGTTTATCATTCTTGGGATTGTTTTGTAGGTTATTTTTCAATAAATGTGTAAGATTTTGGCCATATTTCTTCAAATATTTTTCTGCCATATACTTTTTTAAAATGATATTTAACATATATTTGACTACTTGGTATAGTTTCACAGGTCACTATGTATTTATTTTGTTCATTATTTTTCTCTGAGTTTTAGTTTGGATTGATTATATTGCCATTGTCTTCAAACTCATTTTTTCCGTTTTGCATTATCTATCATTAGTCTATTTACTAAAACTTTTATTTTCATATATGTATTCATCCTTTTCAGAAATTCCAGTTGGTTCTCTTCTTTTACTGTTCACCTTTTTTCCTTGTTTTATTTATGTTTTTTAAAAAATTATTGAGCATATTTATATTATATGTTTCAAAGTTCCTACCTGCTTTTTTTCACCATGTTTGATATTTTAGGGTCTATTTCTATTAACAGATTCTTCTGCTTATAGGTCAAATATTCCTGCTCCTTCACATGTCTAGTAATTTTTGGATGCCATGTATGATTTGTTCATTGTCAAACGCTAGATATGTTTACTTTATTTAAGTATTGTTAAAGATTTTAAAAATCTTCCATGGAGTTATTTGCAATCAATTCATTAACTTGATCCTTTCAAGGCTCATATTTATACATTGTTTCATTTACTGTTGCTATATAACGAACCTCTCTGAAATGTAGTGGGCTGCTCTGCTCTGCCTATGGAATAGCCATTCCTTTATCCCTTTAGTTTCCTAATAAGCTTGCCTTCACATAAAAAATTAAATTTGGTGGTATAAAATTACCATTTTATTATGCTCATTGCTTCTGTTGGCTAGAAATTCAGAAATGATTCAGTTGTGCAACTATTAATTGAAGTTACTCATGCAATCTTTGCAAATGTTGCTTAGGGTTGCATTCTTTTGAGGAGTTTTTTTAGTAGGACATCCCAGGTAGCTCACTCATATGGTTGGGTTTCTGTTGGGGAATCAGCTGAGATTGACACTTGAGGTATTTAGATGTGGCCTCTTTGGCATGATGGTCCCAAATTAGTCAAACTTCTTACCTGATGTCTATGTTGCCCCAGAATGAACATACCAAGGAAACAAGGTTTTTTTTCATCGTGTGTGCTACATTTTTGTTATAAGTGAGCTACTAAGGCTACATTATATTGATTACAGAAAAGCTTTTCAGGTGGGCATAGTCCACACTTGTTAATGGGAAAAATGTTCAGAGAATTTGCAGGTTTTTAAAAAGCTATCACACATTTTAATAAGGTAGGCATTTATCTAGAAATAATTTAGTCCTACTAGTAAGACATAAGTCTTCTGATGTCTCTACAGAATTCTGCAAGTGTTCAGTCTGGTCTCCTTACTCTGGTCACATATAAATCAAATGTCTCCAATCTTAGTGTGAACTCTGAAGATTGTTCATCATATAGCTGCCTGGCAATTGTCTGAGTTCATGGAATTTTATCCTATGTATGTAGAGACTAATATTTAGAAAAACAATCAGAGAATACTCTATAGAGGTTTCTGAATCTCTCACCTTTCATAATCTCTTCTCTGGTATTTTTTATCAGAAGTTTCAGTTACTTTGGTTTCTCCAAATCACTGTATCAGTCTCCTCAACTCAACAAGATGACAGTTTTCTGCTTGTGTTCCTCCTCCCTGCATTGCAGTACAGAACTTTTTTCAAGATGAAAGCTGTGGAGATGATAGGGCTTAACTTGTTTGTTTCTCTTTTCTCAAAAACCACATCTTGTGCTGCCTGTTGTCAAACAACTGAGTCTTTTTCTCATATATTTTGTCCAATATTCTAGTTTTTATTATAATGAGAAAACGCATCTCAAATCATCTTATTTTTGATAAATATAATAAATAATTACAAATTCATTAAGTTCTTAAGTAACTCAGTTTTTTTAAATGAATGATTTTACTCTATGTTTTTTAGTTTAATTATTCTAAAGTTACCTAATGTGCTGGAATAAGATTGTTAATGGTATTCGCTAATAATCCTTTGTATTTATGTAAGGTCAGCAGTAATGTCACCTCTTTTGCTTCTGATTCTAGTAATTTGAGTCATCTTTCTATTTTTATTGGTCAAAAAGTTTTGTCACTTTTCTTCATTATCAAAGGTTTGTCCTTTTTTTCTTCTTTTCGAATAATCAGCTTTTTGTTGCATCAAGTTTTCTCTTCTTTTTTCTAGTATCTAGTTTAGTAATTTCTAATCTAATCTTTAATATTTGCATTGTTATTTTTGCTTTAAGTTCAGTTTTCTCTTCTCTTTCCATTGATTTTTTTGTGGACGTTTCTGTTATTAAGATCTTTCTCTTTTATTAACAGACTTTTACAGCTATTTTTTTTCTCTAAGCACGCTTTAGCTACAACAATCTTATTAATTGTTGTATCTTGTGTCTTCATTTTTATTCTTGTAAAGTTATTTTTTCATTTTGTTTTTTACTTTTTCCTGACACAGTTTATTTAAGAGGGTGTTGTTTAATTACTACATGTTCGTAAACTTCTCAATTTTTTTTTGTTTTCTATTTCTAATTTCATTCCATTGTAGTCATAGAGCATACTTTGCATTATTTCTACCCATTGAAATGTACTTAGGTTGCTCTTTTTTTTTTTAATGGCCTAACATGTAGTATATAACATACAGTATATCCTGGGACATGTCTATGAGCACTTGAGAAGAATGTATATTCTTTTGTTGCTGTGTGGAGTGTTCCCTAAATGTCTGTTAATATTGTTGGCTTACAGTATGGTTTAGGTCTCCTGTTTAATTCTTTCTTTCTTTTTTTTTTTTTTTTTTTTTCCTGAGATGGAGTCTCGCTCTGTTGCCCAGGCTGGAGTGCAGTGGTGTGATCTCGGCTCACTGCAAGCTCGACCTCCTGGGTTCACGCCATTCTCCTGCCACAGCCTCCCAAGTAGCTGGGAATACAGGCGCCTGCCACCATGCCTGGCTAATTTTTTGTATTTTTAGTAGAGCGGGGTTTCACCATGTTAGCCAGGATGGTCTCGATCTCCTGACCTTGTGATCTGCCTGCCTTGGCCTCCCAAAGTACAGGGATTACAGGCGTGAGCCACCACGCCCGGCCCATCTCCTGTTTAACTCTTGATCTTCTGTCTAATTTTTATATGAATTATTGAAAGTGGGCTATTAACATCTCTGTCTCATAATACTGAATTGTCTACTTCTCCCTTGATTTTGTCAGTTTTTGATTCATGTATTTTTATGTTCTGTTGATAGGTGTATATGTGTTTATAATTTTACCTTCCTAATGGGTTACTATTTTATAATTATAAAATGTTCCTCTTCATTACTAAAAATTTTTTTTGTTGTTGTTTCATATTCATGTTGTCTAACATTAGCTATATAACCCATTCAGCTTTCTTGTGATTGTGATTTGTTTGATATATATTTCTTTTGTTTAATCATTTTTTTAATCTTTGTATCTTTGAATCTAAAGTGTCTCTTTATAGACAATGTACAGGTGAATCATATTATTTTATCAAATCTGATAATCTCTGACTTTTAATTGACTTGATCAATTCACATGTGATGGAATTATTGATAATGTCGGATTTACGTTTGTCATTTCACTTCTTGTTTTCTGTAAGTCTCACGTCTCTCTCTATATGTATATGTATATATATTCCTTCTTTTGTTTTACATTAAGTGGATGTTTTCTAATGTAGCATTTTAATGTTTTTCATTATATTTAGAGGGTTTTGTTTCAGTTTGTTTCTGTGTTTTTTACTGATTGGTATAGGTTTACCCTATACATCTTAACTTTTGACTCTATTGTTAGAAATACTGCATTTTTAACATTTCAAACCGATAATACATTGTTATAATTATTACTTTCCCATGTAAAGTCATTACCTTAGGTTGATAGAGCTTTGCTCTCACATACATTCTTTATGTTGTTTTGGCATATATATTACACTTATATTCAATTTTTATATGTCATAGTGCAGTGGTGCGATCTTGGCTCACGGCACCCTCCACCTCCCAGGTTCAAGTGATTATCCTGCCTCAGCCTCCTGAGTAGCTGGGACCACAGGCATGTGCCACCACACCCAGTCAATTTTTGTATTTTTAGTAGAGACGGTGTTTTACCATGTTGGCCAAGCTGGTCTCGAACTCCTGACCTCAGGTGATCCACCTGCCTTGGCCTCCCAAAGTGCTGGGATTATAGGAGTGAGCCACTGCACCCAGCCAAGAAATATATATTTTTTAAACATATTGTGACTCCAAAATTTACTACAGTCCAGAATATTATTTTAATCTTAATTCTGTGTCTGCCTTTAATAAGATGGCAGGTTAACGAGAAGCAAAGACCGTCTTTCATCCTAAATTGCTCCAATACCACTGAGTAAGACATTTTAACTGGAAACCCCTACTCTAATTCAAATTTCTGTCTTCTACCTCTTAACTCATAGTAATGAGAAACACAGTACCTTACCTGGGGTGAAGGATGTACTCTGATCCAACTACTATGTTAACACCTTCTTAGGATATATTTTCCACATTTTTTCCTTTGGGTAACCATTTTCTATTCACTTCTAATATGGTTCGGCTCTGTGTCTCCACTCAAATCTCATCTTGATTTGTAATCCCCACGTGCTGAGGGAGGAAGGTGACTGGATCATGGGGGCAGTTTTCCCCATGCTGGTTCTTGTGATAGTGAGTGAGTTCTCAAGAGACCTGATGGTTTTCTAAGGCAGTTTTCCCTACTGGCTTCTCTCTTCAGCTGCCTTGTGAAGAAGGTGCTTTCTTTCCCTTCACTTTCTGCCATAATTGTAAGTTTCCTGAGACCTCCCCAGCCATGCAGATCTGTGAGTCCATTAAACTTCTCTTCTTTATAAATTACCCAGTCAAGGGTATCTCTATAGCAGCATGAAAATGGACTAATACATTTGTACCGTGGAGATTGGGGCACTGCTATAAAGATACCTGAGAATGTAGAAGCGACTTTGGAACTGGGTCATGGGTAGAGATTGGAGCAGTTTGGAAGGCTCAGAAGGAAGACAGGAAGATGTGAAAAAGTTTGAAACTTCCTAGAGACTTGGTGAATGATTTTGACCAAAATGCTGATAGTGATATGGACCATGAAGTTCAGGCTGAAGTGGTCTCAGATGGAAATAAGAAACTTCTTGGGAACTGGAACAAAGGTCACTGGAGCTATGCTTTAGCAAAGAGACTTGCAGCATTTTGCCCCTGCCCTAAAGATCTGTGGAACTTTGAACTTGAGAGAGATAATGTGAAATTGCAACTTATGTTTAAAAGGGAAGCAGAGTATAAAAGTTTGGGAAATTTGAAGTCTGATGAGAAAAACCTATTTTCTGGGAAGAAATTCAAGACTGCTGCAGAAAATTGCATAAGTAACGAGGAGTCCAATATTAATCAACAAGACAATGGGGAAAATGTCTCTAGGGCATGTCCGAGATCTTGGTGGCAGCCCCTTCCATCCAAGGCCTAGAGGCTTAAGACAGTAAAATGGTTTGTTGGGCTAGGCCCAGGACCCCTCTGCTCTGTGCTGCCTCAGGATGTGGTGTCCCATGTTGCAACTTCTTCAGCTCCAGCATAACTAAAAGAGGTCAAGGTACAGCTTGGGCTGTTGCTTCAGAGGGTGCAAGCCTTAAGCCTTGGTGGCTTCCATGTGGTTTTCAGCTTGCAGGTCACAGAAGTCAAAAATTGAGGTTTGGGAGCCTCTGCCTATGTTTCCGATGATGTATGGAAACACCTGGATGTCCAGGATGAAGTCTGCTGCAGGGGCGAAGTCCTCATGGAGAACTTCTGCCATGGCAGTGCAAACAGGAAATGCAGAGTTGGAGCCCACACACAGACTCCCCAATGGGGCACTGCCTAGTGGAGCTGTGAGAAGAGGGCCTCCATCCTCCAGACGCCAGAATTGTAGATCCACCAACAGCTTGCACTATGCACCTGAAAAACCTGCAGACACCGAACACCAGCCATAAGAGCTGTACCCTGCAAAGCCACCAAGGTGGAGCTGTCCAAGATTGTGGAAGCCCACCCTTTGCATCAGCATGACCTGGGTGTGAGACATGGAGTCAAAGGAGATTATTTTGATGTTTTAAGATTTAGTGACAGCCCCACTGGATTTCAGACTTGCATGGAGCCTGTAGCCCCTTTGTTTTGGCCAATTTCTCCCATTTGGAATAGGAGCATTTATCTAATGCATGTATCCCCATTTTATCCTGGAAGTAACTAACTTGCTTTTCATTTTACAGGCTCATAGATGGAAGGGACTTGCCTTGTCTCAGATAAGACTTTAAACTGTGGACTTTTGAGTTAATGCTGAAATGAGTTAAGACTTTGGGGGAGTGTTGAGACGGCATGATTGGTTTTGAAATGTGAGTATCTCAGATTTGGGAGGGATTGGGGGCAGAATGATGTGGTTTGGCTCTGTGTCCCCACCCACATCTCATCTGAAATTATAATCCCCACATGTCAAGGGAGAGAGGTAATTGGATCTTGGGGCATTTCCCCCCATGCTGGTTCTCATGATAGTGAGTGAGTTCTCATGAGATCTGATGGTTTGATAAGGGAATTTTCCCTCCTTTTGCTCACTTTTCTCTCCTGCTACCTTGAGAGGAAGGTGCTTGCTTTCCCTTCACTTTTTGTTATGATTATAAATTTCCTGAGGCCTCCCTGCATGTGGAACTGTGAGTCAATTAAACTGCTTTTCTTTATAAATTACCCAGACTTGGGTACTTCTCTATAGCAGTGCAGAAAAGGAGTAATATAATTTCATATGTGTATATAAATGTCTCTTTATATGTTCATACCAGCTCTTCCATGTAAGTTTATGTTTACAAAACTGACAATGTCATGAAAGTATAAATACTGTGCCTAGCAGAATTGTTCTTATTTAAGTGGCAGTGAAAAAAAAGTCTTAAAAAAGTTTCTACTGCTATGTATTCTAGTTACATGTAGATAAGACCTGTTGTGAAATGTATGAAAGTTGTTTCAAGAATGTGTGAAATAAAATACAAGCAGATTGTATTCATCTAAATGGTACACAATAGAAAAATTTAAATGACTTCTACTTTGAATTTAGTTTGTGCTTCCTTTCTTAGCTTACTAAGATAGGCGATTGACTTTAAATCATATTTTTCCCCTAATAACAACATTTGAAGCTACATATTTCTATTTAAGTGATATTTTAACTGAGTTCCACAAATTGTATACTGTTATAACTATATTGTCCAGTGTCATTCAGTTCAAAATAATTTAAAAATTACTTTGTAATTTATTTTTTCATTTATTTGTTTATTTAATGATAAGATCTTGCTATGTTGGTAGAGCTGGACTCAAACTCCTGGGATCAATCAATCCTTCTGCCTCAGCCTCCTGAAGTACCAGGATTACAGGCATGAGTGTCACCATTCCTGGCCTCTGATTTCTACTTTTAAAATCATGATTATTTAAAAATATACCCTTCAAAATGGAGAAGTTTAAAATATTACTTCCTTAATCAGATTATTCATATTTCAATGCTCAATAGCTACAGGTGCTAATGGCTGTTGTATTAGACAGCTCAAGTCTGAAGGATCCTCTTTACAGAATATAGGGTAAAGCTAGATATTAATATCTCAAGTTGTGATTTCATATAATTTGTCTATCAATTAATTTCAATAAGGGTGCAAGACGTGAACTTTACTAGGCAGGTCTAAACCCTCAGACAATCTACATTTTTCTTTTTGCATTACTGGCTCTCAGATAATATTTTAAAAATATTATTGACATGATATAAATAAATTTACCTGTGCAGTACAGGAAAAAAGTCAAGATAAACACTTGTAAATTGTTAACTTCTGTGGATTCTGATGTAGGCTATAGGATTGCAGGGGCAAAATGTGCTTATTAAATATGTTATACTGAATTTAAAAATCAATAAATTAAATATTATTGACATTATTACCATTGGTATAGCTAAGCAGAACTAAATATCTTAGAATTTTCCATGCAATCATCTTCTAATTCCAGCAAAATAGGTTGAAATTAAAAAATAGTGGGGCATATTATTTGGTAATAGATGTTTTACTCCAATTTTAGAATTCCAAAAGTTTTGTAATCAATGATTTACTCATTTTTTCTGATATATGTAGCAAATTTCCTTCCCATTCCAGTGTTGGAAAACCATAAATATAATAACGTTTTTACACTTGATATAAAAATATATAAAGGAACAAAATTTATAATCTCCCAGTCTCCCTATTGGCTAAAATCATAAAACATTATACAATGAAGTATGTATTTCTGTATATATTTTTCTCATTGACAAAAACACATACATTAAGAGGATATAATTAATAGACCATTATCATTGAACCTCCCTTTCATAGAATATAAGGTAGATAATACAAAATAGCTACACACATGTATCTACTACTGCAAATAAGAGTTGTAAAAATTAGAAATGTTGTGCTCCTTGGAAAACATCTTGTCAATAAAAAAATCTCATAACATCTCAACATATGTAAAACATGCATCATGGAAAATACATCAATACATTATAGTTTTAAGGGGAAAAATTAGGATAGACAAAATTTTATTGGGAGCAAAATACTCTTATATTCATGTATTCTGGAATAAGGTCTGTTTATCCTTGAATCTAATGATTTCAATAGATATGGTAAATCATAAACTGGCACATCCCAGAAAAATGATCATTTGAAATGGCTGTATTGTTGAGGTCTAGTGGGAGATAGTACTGGAAAAAAAATGTACCACTTATGCTTTACAGAATTTGATTGGTGTCAAATATTAAAATAAGATTCAAGTCAGAGAAGCAGAAGGCGATTTCAGATCATGCTTATGTGAGTTAAGTAGTTACTTTATTTTTTGAGACGGAGTCTTGCTCTATGACCCAGGCTGGAGTGCATTGGTGCGATCTCGGCTCACTGCAACCTCCGCCTCCCAGGTTCAAGCGATTCTCCTGCCTCAGCCTCCTGAGTAACTAGGATTATGGGCGTGCCACCACGCCTGGCTAATTTTTGTAATTTTAGTGAAGACGGGGTTTCACCATGTTGATCAGACTGGTCTCAAACTCCTGACTTGGTGATCTGCCCGCCTCGGCCTCCCAAAGTGCTGGGATTACAGGCATGAGCCACAGTGCCTGGCCAGTAGCTACTCTTATAAATAAATAATTTTGCTATTTTACAAATCATTAGTTAAATAACAGAGTATTTTTGACCCACATAAAAACAGATTTTAAAGGTGGCCTTTTTTTTTTGGAGACTTTATTCCGACTATAGCTCAGCCTCTTCTCAGGCATAGGTTAAATTCTCATTGAATTATGTAATACTGTGCAATTTTAGGTGAGATTTACAAATAAAGGTATGAACTCAGGATTCAGGCTTCCTGTATTCAGAAATCATAGAGTAGGAGTTTAACCTCTTCTTGCTACTGTTTTAGCATCTGGAAAGAGTATCACTCAATATTTAAATCAGTTAATTGTGTAAAGTGCTAATAATTGTGCCTGGTGCATAGCCTAGATACATACTATTATTTTTATATTTCTTATGTTATTGTCAATTAATTCTATCGTTATTTCTAATGGATAAAAGTTAAAAATTAAATGTATTTAGTATGAAGATAAACATACACTTTTACTAGTTCTTCTTTAAATATTTCTACCAAGAAAGGTGAACAAAATACAATTTAATTTAAAAAGCCTTGCTTTGTATATTTTACCAAAAGAAAGAGATAATGTTAGGGTAAAATAGTTTCAGGTGCATGCTAATTTGAGTACATAGTAATTACTATATTTGAAAATTATTTCATGTTTATTTTCTTAATCACATATCTTTTTCAGTCCTTAATTCATTAAAATTTGTCTTCTTAGCAATAACATTTCGTAATTTATCTTTTTTCTGTATGTTTTATTCACTAAATGTATTTTACTTGTTCTTTTCAGTCTGTTAGAGTTACGATGAGACAAGGTAATATAATATAATACTCCTTACCTCTAACACCTGAGCTAAAACATACATAGGGCTTTCTTTTAGTGCACCAGATAGTTAAATTTTGCAATATGATAAAAAGCAAGCCAAGAAATTTTACCCTCAAGCATATACCAGAAGATATATATGTACCTGTGCACAAACAGACATTTAGCAATGAACACTGCAACATTGTATTTTTGTTATAACAGCTTTATTGAGATATCATTTATACAATGTAACATGTACCCCTTTAAAGTGCATAATTCAGTGGTTTAAGCATATTCAAGGTAGTACAAACATTACCATCTAATTTTAGAACATTTCATCACCCCAAAAATAAGCTCTTATATCTTAGGATTTACTGTCAAACAGTAGTTTACATTGCCTATTCAGGACATTTCGTCTAAGCGGAATCATCTAATAGATCTTTTGATCTGGTTTCTTTCATTTAACACAGTATTCTGAAGGTTCATATGTGTTGTAGCATGTATCAGCACTTCAATCGTTTTGTTAACGAAAGATATTTTATTGTATAGCTATAGGACATTTTGGATATTTATTCAGCAGTTGATGAACACTTGTTTTCTTTCCACTTTTGAACGACAATAAATAGTACATCTCTGAACATTCATGTACAAATTTTTGTGTAGACATGCATTTTCATTACTTTCATTACTTTTTTAGGAGTGGAACTGCTGGTCAATAGAATATGGTCACTATTTTTAACATTTTTTAGAACTGACAAAGTGTTTTACAAGGTGGTGGCAGAATGTAACATTTCCATTAAGAATGGATGACTTCAGTTTATTCACATCCTTATTAAAATTAGTTATTTTCTCTCATTCTGATCATAATAATTTTAGTTGGTATGAAGTGGTATCTTGTAGTTATAATTTGCACTTCCATGATGACTAACGGTATTGAACTTCTTCTTGTGCGCTTATAGGCCTTTGGAATAATTTCTTTTAATAAATTTCTATTCAGGGTCTTATCTGTATAAAAAATTGGATTATTTGACTTTATCCTGTTGCGTTCAAAGATTTTTTAATATATTTTGGATACAAGTATTTTTTATCAAATATATAGTTTGAAAATACTTTCTCTCATTCCATGAATTGTCTTTTGAAACTCATAGTATTGTTTACAGAATGAAGGGTATAATTTTGACAAAGTCTATTTTGTCTTTTATTGCTGTGCTTTTGGAGACATAGCAAAGAAATTGTTGCCTATTCCAAGGTTATGAATATTTACTCTATATTTTCAGGACTTTATTTACAACTCTTACATTTCCAGAAAAACAGGACTAAAGGAATTTATCATTAGTAGGCTTACTCGACAAAATATATTAAATGGAGCTTTTCAGGTTAAAATAGAAGGCACTTAATAGTAACTCCTATCCTTGAAAATAAATAGCACTAGCAGAGGTAACTACCTAAGTTGGAAAATTACTTTATAATCATTTATTTAGTAAAGAAAATTGAGACACTTTAAAAAGCAAAAGTGTAGGTTAATTTATAAAGGTATATTTGCATCACAACCTCAAGAAAGCAGCCACGTTTTGCAAAAAAAAAAAAAAAAGAAATAAAGAATTCCTTTAATTTCACAAAGCTTATGAACATAACACTAGAATGTAAAAAGCCAAGTAATACATGAGTTGTTTTCATGAGATAATTCCTTACATTTCAAATACAAAGCAAATAACCGGTCATTGCCATCATATAAACAATAACTTACCAATAATTATAATTCTAATTTCGTCCTAATTTTTCTTATATTATACATCTAGCAAAAATGTCAAATGGCTCTGGTGTCAGATTACAAGTTGTCAAGTTTACCTAGAAGAGTTTCATCTTTAAAAGTTAAACTATATCATTAATACTAGTGATTTTCCACTAAAATATACATGTATGTGTGTATTCATATACATATGTGTAAAATATTACGTACATTGAAAAGATAACTGAAAGGCAAAACAATTCTGAAATAAATGTAACAGATAAGTCTTACACAGTAGCTTCGATGAGCATGGGACATAAAATTGGTTTCTGGAAAAACAGAGATTGCTAAATATTATGATTACTCAAAGTAATGCAAGAATTGGTACATTCTTCAATGCTATATATTTACCTTTATTTACATTGCATGTCTAAAATTTGTAAAGAAATCAAACAAGATTGTAAAAACATAATATTGTTTTGTGATAATTTACCTCATAAGTGAACCAAAAAACATTGCAACTGTTCATGTCTCAGAAGTCAAGACAACAACAGGTCAGCTGGTTTGGCAAATGCTAAGAACTTTGCAGCTGAGAGCTTTACATTTTTCACTTGACCAGATGTTCTGAAGCTCACCTTAACCACCTGTTCAACTTATTGTTAGGCAACGCATGCACTCTCTCTTGTATCTGATTATTATGTAATATATCCAATTGGAAGCAACTCTATCAGATAAATGCTCCCACTTCTTGGCAGCTTTCCTTCATTCAACATATATTTATTTACTAGCTACCGTGTGAACTGTGCTAGGCCAGTACTTGCAATGCACTCTAATCTGTACGCTTTGTGTATCTTGATATAAGAATTCCTAAATTATATAATATATTGTCTCATTTTAAGGTATTTAAGTTATAAGTGAATGTGTTTCCTATAAAATGGAACCAGAGGCAGCTGTCAGATTAAATAGTATTGCTTCAGTTACCATCCGAACTCGAGCTCAGTTTAGCTCCACCCTCCAACTCTATGCTATAACAGATAGAACATTTCATCATCCAAAAAAGAAGCATTTGTACATTAGAATTTAGTGTCAAACAATGGTTTAATTTGTTCTCTATGGATTTGCATGTTCAAAACATTTCATCTAAAGGGAAATGTCTAATAGATCTTTTGGATTTAAAAGATGAATAAGACAGTGGCTCTGCCATGTATTATCTCATAATCAATGGGCAAGGCAGCCAGTATTACATCAATGAAATTGTTACTTTGATGAAGATATAGGGATCTAAGGGAAAACAGAAAAGGGGTGAAACACAAATAGGAAATCTAAATCGGATTTCTCAAATCGTGCAATCTTAGTAGATGGTTGAGCATAAAGGAAGTAGGAGATGGAAATAGGGCTTAAAGTTAGGGGGAAGTACTGGGTTATTTCTTACCTATGATGCTTTATTATTTTGATGGACTTCATAATATTATATAACTTAGTCATTTTCAAAACTACATGTATAAAATTAAAGTATTTGAATATATTAGATAAAACTTTTTTTAAAATTATGGTATTTATTATCATAAGTAATGTAAGCTAAATAATTATTCATGGCACTTTTCACTGTCTTTAATAATTTTTTAGCCAAACCATTCTTAAATGCCAGCCATGTCACACGGACTTTTCAAAAATATATATGATTAATACTTTAGATTTTTTATGAAGCTACCAGCAATATTATTTAAGGTTGTTTTTCATGCTAAATATATTAGAAATTGTTAAAAATGGTAATTGACTTTTCTCTGTAGACCTATAGTAGTTTTAATTAAGACAACTCTCTCCTTGTAACCTATGACCAAATATATTTCTTGGACAATGTTTTTATGGCTATATTTTTGACATGTATATTTCTTGGTCTTCATTGAGAGAACTTATCTTCAACAAATACTTTTATAATACAAAAATCCACAAGTAAGAAATATTGAAAGAAAGACTGGATTCACAATTATATACTATACGTATGCATACACACGTGTGTATAAAATTAAAGTACATTTCAAATACACATATTTAATATGTTATTACATATGTATATGTATAATATATTACATATTACATATTATATATTATGTAATATATATCTTATATATTATATATAATAAATAGTAATATTATATTGTATATTATTCTTATATCTCATCTTATATGATATATAATATGTATGATATATTACATGATATATAATATATATGATATGTTACATAATATATAATACATGTTACATAATATATAATGTGTAATATATTACATATTTAATGTATTACATATTAAATATAAATATTTCAAAATAGCAGGTCCATCTAAAGACTTTTTCTTTTCTTTGAGGTGGAGTCTGCCTGTTTCACCCAGGCTGGAGTACAGTGCACAGTCTTGGCTCACCACACACTCCGCCTCCCGGGTTCAAGCAATTCTCCTGGCTTAGTCTCCCGAGTAGCTGGGATTACAGGTGCCCGCTACCATTGCCCAGCTAATTTTTTTTTTTAAGTAGAAACAGGGTTTTCCCGTATTAGCCAGGCTGGTCTTGAACTCACAACCTCAAGTGCTCACAACCTCTGCCCGTCTTGGCCTCCCAAAGTGCTGGGATTCCATCTAAAGAGTTTTGAAACAATTTGAGATATTCCAAACAGCAATTATAGAAGTTCTAAATTAAATCATATGCACCATTTAAGCTCTCATTAATTAATTTGTTCAGTCTCTTGCTTTCACATACTTAATATATTCTTTTTTGCAGGTTTTATTTTCAAAGATTGTATTTTGTTAAAAACTTTAAAACTTGAAGTTATTCCATGTTCCATTAAATAGTTTCATTTTTATTTTAAATATAAATGAAGTTAAGTCACAATTTAGATGACTATGTTACATAAGTTCATTATCCTAATAGGATCTATCTAGTTTCTTAAAGGTAGTACTTCAAATATTCAGGTATTTCTAAAAGTTGATTTATGACAAATGACATTTTGTAGCATTCTTGTATTCAATGTCATTTTGTCAAAAAATGATTATTTAACCCAATTTTGCATGGACAGTCATTGCTTTATCCTAATTTTTAGAACATGTCAATGTGGACATTGGCACAATTGTAAGCAATGTGCATGCTATAACCAGTTGCATATGTATTTTTTACTTTTGTAAGAACATTGTAATCTTTTTATCCAGGGTGCCATGCTTCATTAAAGTCGATTTTCAGTGAAAAAGCCAGTAATTTCATTGTAAATATTGAGCATTTTAACATAAGTTCTTTAGTTCTAGCTAATTTAAAAGAAAATTATGAATTGAAAATGAATGAAATTAATTCAGAACAAGAGTAATTTGTTTAAAAGAAAATGTATGATTCTGAGTAATATATAAAGGTACATTTTGTACCTTTGTATAATTATTTGTCTTTGGTTACAGTGTTCCTGAAAGAACTATTCACTTTTGAGGTAAATAATGATTTTTTAAAACATTTGTTTATTGGCTTTTTCACCATCAAGTGTCCCTGGAAATCGAAGATTCACTTTCTAATTAAATGTGAATTTTTATTTTTGTGCACCTTGCCAATGAAGAAAATTATTGTAAAAATATTATTAAGCAATAAAGTGTGATGACAAGGCTAGGAGTGTGAAATTCTTCTTCCATAACCGTCCAAAACTCAAACAAGTTAGCTAGTTTTGGCTGCTTCTCTCCAAGCACATTTGTCTTGTTAGTAAATGCCCTCTAAGGCGCCCTTGAAATTGCGTTGTTGGATATGTTGTTTCTAAAAACTATTGGGTTCTCCCTAGTTCATGTTTCTGATTCAATCACATTTTAATATAAAAATTTAATTAGCTTCAAATGCATCTAGAACAAACACAAGTTATTATGAGAAATTTTGGAAATTAAAAAAAAATAGACATCTAACATATACCAACCCAATTAAAAGCAACCTTTTTTAAAAAGTTAAAGAAATTGATGGTAGTAGAACAACCATAAATTTATTATTTCCTTAATAAATTGAGATAGATGGCTATCTTAATATGGTAATGATGTTATGATCTTGCCAAGAAATAAGGGTTTAATTAGATAGGGAAGACATAAACCCAAAAATATTTAAGAGCCAAAAACTGGTGTTGTTTGGGTATTAACACATATGAATACAAGAGAAAGGTTCTACTGTAAGTCCTAAAGTTTTGGTTTATGAGATGACCCTTCCTAAAAAAGGGAACAGATTGAAATGATTATTAATTCAGATTTGAACTTCAGGTCCTGTGGCATAGCCAAGTGAAGCTATTTAATATAAAGTTAGATATATTAAAATGAGTCTAGGTCTATGGGAAGAGATACAGTGGTACTCTCCAGAAAGATGATAAAAAATATAATGTAAATAGTTGGTTGATATTGAGTCATGGCAAATATAAGTAAAGACTTAGAAATACATCTTATTGTTGAATAGTTAAAATTTTATTTTCATTTGATATAGTATTAAAATGATTAATTATAATAAATTTTCAAAAATTAATATTCCAAAATTTACATGTTGGTATATACTCATTTTGTTGCAAATACAGTTAATGAAAAAATATTATATAATAATAAAGAAATGTCTATTTTAATTTTTAATATTTAATACTATTTTTGGATCATTCAAACAATACCTTTTCATATTTTAATAACATTTAGTTTCATCTGTTGCCATCTTCATCAGTTTCTTCTTTAACATATGGTTTCACGTGGTTTTAAATGACCTTTCTGTAAAACAAAATGCAAGATATGTTTCATTTTGAAAATACGTGTTATATATTTATGTGTAGCTATTCTATTACAATACTTCAATAAACACAAAAATTTTACTATGAAAATAATTGTGTAATCAACATATTAAAAAATAACCTTGTGTATGTAATGTCTTCATGTTGTACTTTTTCTATATCAAGTCATCTTATATACTTTGGCTTATGTGAACTGTTTTGTATAAGAGATTAAATCATGACATGCTTGCTTTATAGTCTATGTATAAAATAGATTTATGGGTTTTCAAGCATTCTTCTATTTTAGCTAATTTTTCTTTTATTACTCACTCATAGAGACTGGTTTGAGAATTACTTTGAGAAAATAGCTTAAGTAGATTTTTAAATACTCATGAGAAAAACAGATAAACAAAATGTATATTGCTTATAATTCCATAGGCTTCCCTTTGGCTAGCTACTCTGAGGGAACATGTATAGTTAAAATCTAGGAAAGAAGTAAGTATATCTCCAATTCCCATTCTGGGTAAATGGGAAGTCATAGATGGTAACAGGTATTTAATAAATAATTTAAATCATTAGATATTTCCGCTGGGTGCAGAGGCTCATGCCTGTCATCCCCATGATTTGGGAGGCTTGAGCCCAGGAGTTCGAGGGTACAGTTAGCTATGATTGCACCATGGGACTCCAGCCAGGCTGACAGAATGAGACCCTATCTCAAAAAAGATAATTTGACCATGAATTCTCTAAACTAGTACATTTCTAAAGCTAAACTCAGACATTAGATAAATAATCTAACAGCTCAGCACTCTTGAGTTAGATTTTATCACACATTGTTTTTGATATTTCCTGAAGTGTTTCTATGTTGCTTCTGAACAAAAATTCATATGAATGTTAAGGATAAAATAAAGTCCATGGTAAAATAACTATATTATTTATATAAGCAAAGTCTTTTATGTGTGTGTGTGTTTTTTTAGGATTTCTTAAAATCTCTAAAGCTAATATTACATTCTAATTTTCAATAGGGAGATATGATATACAAAATTTATTTGGATATTGATCCTTCTTTTGTGAAATACAAGAATGAGTATTCCACTGAAGATAGCTTAGAAATATTTGAAGTAGATCTAGAGAAAGTAAAATATCTAGCCCATGTTGTTAGAAATCAAATGGATTTTTAATAGAAATCAAACAGACTTCTATTGCTACAATCTATAACTATGCTTCTATATATATTAGATGATTAATATGCAAATTATATTATTTTTCCTCTTCTTTTGTATAAATAAAGTTGCAAACTTTATTCAAATAAATATATCAAGAATACTAAAAAACAATTCAATTGCACTTACAACAGTTTACAAACATGTTAAACTTATTATGTACCTACAAGATGATAATAATTAAATGAGAACCAAGATGCAGGTTTATAATCATTTACACTGTTTTTCCAATACAGAAGAGATACCATCAACATAAATAATAAATAGTGAGAGGCTGTCTAAAAGAAAATAGCATTTACTTGGGAACAATGCATTGCAATGATAATATTCGCTCCATAGTGAACTGTGTGTATATTCCAAGAGATAAAGACAAAGGCTTTAAAAGAAAAAAATGAGAAAGATTAAGTCATTGTTTTGAGATAACTACCCTTGGTTATAGGCATAAATAGCAAGGGTGATGTCAGTCTTAGTTTAGACAGGCAGTTACCAGGCAGATGTCCTCACAGAACTATTTTTTGTACAAGGTGGTGATAGCATTTGTGCAAGTTTGTTTCTTTGTCCGTTGTGACAGTTTTTGGTATCAGGCATTTATGCGTGAGAACACTCTTTTCATAGCCTTCCTGAACTCTATTTGTCATAGTTTTTTCTCTTCATTTTTAAATTGAAACACAAGTTACTCCATTTTAACAGGTATCACATTTTTTCTTTGATACCTGATAAAGATCTTTTTCCAAAGGCATGACTAATCAATCATCTTGTAGTTAGGTTTTGTTGTTATTCGGTGCCAAGGATAGACATGGCCCAGGTTACTGGTCTGCTCCCATGTTGGAGAGAGTAAATGGTGGCTAGGAGTCAGCATCAAAATCCTTATAGCCACATTTGAGCAACAAGGGAGGTTTAAAGGAAGTGGTGGCTCTCAGGCTAAAGTTACCTGCAGTCTCTTATTAAGTTCAATTTTGTCTGTCTTATATGGACTTGTTATCATCTCAAAGTGTTGGGCCAGCATTATTCTGTTAGTTTTACTTTTGTAAAAATTTAACAAGTAACAGACACAAAGTTTAAAAGGGAAAATACAAATACTATCTTGTAACATTTCATGTATCCCATTGTTATATACACCTACTATGTACCCACAAAATTAAAAATAAATACATAAATAAAATCAAAATAAATAAAGAAAAAAGTAAAAAATAAAGAGGGAAAACAAGGTAAAATTAACAGTAATGTTACAATCTCAGTTTGCATAATGGTTTTGAGTCATAAATCTGTGCTTAAAGGCAACCATTTGAACAAATCAAATGATCACTATCCTAGCAAGTAAAAAAGGTTGGCATTAAGGGGGTTAAAGTCTCATTATAATATAAAGTCATCTTGGAAAAAAATGATCTAAAGTGTGAAAATATGTTTCTCATCCTGGTTTGCAGTTTTAATATCTTAATTTATGACATAAGACAGTTTGGTAAACTTTTTGTGTGGCCCATTTATCAGGCTTGTTTTCACTCTCTTCTTTTAATCCATCAATTTTCACCTTATAGAGCTTCAGAAACAGAATAGTTTTCATTTTTTAGTAATCCCATGGAAGAGAGTTAGATTGGGGAAATCCAGAAGAATTGAGGATCTAGTCTAGTATATAAAGAACTCAAAAACAATGCACAGAACAACATCTAAACACAGATGTTTTATAGTTCTTTTTAAAACACAGTTTTTCTCTCTACATAAATTAAATATTAATCTCAGATTTAAAACCTCTTAAAGTTAGGAAGCCAAACCAGAGCAGACTTTATATTTTACTTTCAGTCTCAAGGTTTATGTGCCTGCCAGGAAATCACATTTGTACTCACTCACTGTAAGGCTTGGAGCCCTTGAACCCAAGCATTCTATGCACATTTTCAAATATGGTATTTCAGCAAAAATCTTGGTAATATAATCAACGTTTTCGATTGCAGCATATTATGAAGAGAGCACAAATTGTCATTAAACTTAAATAACCACATTGCAATAAAAAGACAAATGGTCATTAATACTTTTTAAATTTTGGAGGTATCAAGTAGTGAGAAAAAGTAAATGTTTCTACATTTATTTACAAAAGTACACTTTACCAAACTGCTATAAACTATAGATAGTTTAAGAAATAAAACTTTCTAAGATCTGGACACAAAATATTTAAATAAAGAATCCATGATATTTCAAATAAAAGTCACAAAAACATTATCTTCATCAGTCATTCAATCTCATGTAATTAGGTTTCATTTTATTTTATCTTGATTAACAGTTTTATGTATCAATGAGTTTCTTTACCAGCGTTCTGGAAAATTTTTATTGATTCCATTGATCATAAAACTATCAGAAACCTCTACTTAAGAGTCCTCAGAGTCTTTTCCATTAATCTGATGTCATGTACTTTTTCAGAAAAATCAAAATTGTGGATGACAGAGACTTACAATAGCCATGGTAAAAAGTTTGATATAATTTCTCTATAATCAGCAATTACAAAGAAGTTTGGTTGTTTGTGGCATACAAAACAGTAACAAGAATTATGATTGATGGCATATTAGATTTTTAAGAGTTTTATACAATGTTGAAACATTGATTTTAACAAAATACCCATAAATGTATCTGAAAGAAAATCTAGTATCACTTATCATTTGGCAATGTTTCCTATACAGTTTACTAAATAACCCTAATTATTTAGTATCTCTCAATTTAAGAGAGAGATATTTTAAAGCTTCCCAGGATCCAACTAAAAAATCCCAAAGTTCATTTTAAGTCAAAAAGACAATTCAGAATTTTGACCATGGAAAAGCCTGCCTAAGATGCCATTCCTTTGATAACATTCTTAAACTGTCTACTTTGTCCTATACTTTCTCTTTCTTAAATAATAGGACATTTTCCTTTATGATAAAAACCAACAACATAAGATAAATTTTATACAAAATTATTCCCTTTGTAAAATGTTTCTTACCAGTAATGCGTCTTCATACCCATAGTTTGTTTACATCCCTTTCTTCATTACTGCTTTATTTTTATCATGTTTTAATTTTCTTCTTAAATCTATATTCTGAAAGACTTTCACCTTTAAATTAGAAAAAAATATTTTTCACCATAAAGAACCCATTTTTACAACTTTTAAATATTTTTTTACAATCACAAGCACACATTGTCTTTTGGTAAACTCTGTATTCATACACGTATTTATTTATTTGTTTATATTTATATATTTATATTTACATTTTACCTTTCAGCAACCTTAATTTTTAAAAAGAAATTTTGAAATATCTGGAAATTATCAGACTTTACAGATGAGAACCATTTTATAATTTTAGAAACATATTTCCCCAAAATATAATTTTTAATGTGCATTAATAGAACTTAATATATTTATTATTTCTATAATATTTAAGAAACCAAGGAAAAAAATTTATGTTCAGCAATTTGTTTCAAGTTGTTATCTTACTTGGAAATGACCCAGATATTTAATGAGTATCTATTATTTAATCTAACATAAAATAAAGTTTTCAAATTACATGAAAAGGTCATTTATATATGTTTACTCATTTACATTTACCTGATTTATTAATTTTAATGATTTATCTAGATTACTCATAAAATTGAGATATTAGACAGAAGTGGTCATTATTTCAAATTATTTTGATTTGTTTGCCATCTTTATAGGCTGTGATTATTAGTTGTTCATCCAAGTAAGAACCTTAAAGTTTAATATATGGGTATTTTCCTGAAGAATCAGAAAATGTTTTTATTAAACCAATATTTTGTGGGTTTTATTAAACCAATTGTTTTTATTAAACCAATATTTTATTAAATTATTCTTATCAAAGCATTACACAAAGGTTATTTTGTTTTTAAGTTGGGTTTAGAGCAGGGTGTCCAATCTTTTGGCTTCCCTGGGCCACATTGGAAGAATTGTCTTGGGGCATACATAAGATACACTAACACAAGTGATAGCTGGTGAGCTAAAAAAAAAAAAAAAAAAAAAAAATCACACACACAAAATCTCATAATGTTTTAAGAAAGTTTACGAATTTGTATTGGGCTGCATTCAAAGCCATCCTGGGCTGCATGTGTCTCGCTGACTGCAGGTTGAACAAGCTTGGTTGAGTTTTATGATCTTAAAATATCTAACAGGGACAACTTTAAATATGTCTGACCAAGAAATACAGGAAAAAGCATATGAAATATATCCTGATTATTTTGGAGACATATTTATTTTTATTTCACTAACAATTTTAAAATAAGCTGATTTATCAAGAGTCCCTTAAGTTACATGAAGAAAAAGGCATTTGGGAGCTATTTGGTATTCAATTATTGCTTATTAATCTAAGCCAGTTTGAATAGAATTTCCTGAGATATTTGGACCAGCTACACAAGATTTTACCATATAAACACAACATAAAACATAATACATGTACATATGTGTAAATACTTCTAAACATCTATACACACACACAAAGAATCTTATAGCTTTCATTTTATAATTTTAGTCATGACACCGTAAAACATACAAACTCTCTAGTTTAAGAAGATAGTCAAATCCAAATTATGTTTTTGACAAAACAGGCCCTGTTTACATGGCTAAAACTTTATTTGCCCCAATAAGTAATCTAATAAAGGCTTTGTACCAAAATTTTGCTCAAATCAGACAAACAAAAACCTTTCTTGCCCTGTTTTACAATAATGAGTTTAGGGTTAAATGTTTAATGCTTACATTTATCTAGGACTGGCTGAATTGTTTAAGCAAAACAAAATCTCTAAATTACCTTGGATTAATAACAAATATATTTTTTTGTTTGGCATTTTGATTTTTTTCACTAGTCAATATGGATGGGGAAAGACTTTAGCAGAATTTTTTTGGACTTTTTCTATTTGGCCCCATTGTGACAGACAAGGCAACTTTTATGCCAGACAAATGTATCAAATATTATTTATCTGAACTCAAGGTGTTGACCTGTTTGATCTGAATGCCTAACGTTTATAAATTTTTTTTCTTTTAGAATATCAATTCTTCAGTTAATTGTTCCATCACCCTAAACAATTGTTAGTCAGGCAAACCTAAATTTACTTTAAAGAAATAACTCTTAGTTCTAGGCTGTCATTTACCATGGAGCTGTTGAAATTTGTAAAGCCATTAACTTGAATACCCTTTAAGACATTTTTAATTAAAAAAAATCTTGGCTGTAATGCCATTGGCAGTGTGCTTTATCTCAACATCAGCAGAAAATTCATCAAATTTAACGTAGGCAGAAAAAAAATAGAGAGGTAGAGACCTTAGAAGGCTCTACATGTTAATTCAATAGTTGCAGGGTTTTAAAAAAACATTTAAATAATAACAATTTGAACTTTGAATTTTCTTTGATGTAATTTGCCCATAAGTTTAATAATACACATAAGAATGGTCCATAACATAGCCAGCTGAAGTCCCAGAAAATCTGGCCTGCCTTAATGTTTGAGAATACCATTCTGTATCCTATTAATCTCTTTAGAGCAAGTAAAATCTAATAAATTATGTTAGAGAATGTCAGGAGTTTTGACTATTTTAGATCATGGTGACTGTCTTTGTGGCTTTTAACTAACCATTCTGCACCCACCATTTAGAGTGCTTGTTTTTGCTCTCAAAAGATTTCTAGGCAAGAGAAAGAAGCCAAAGCACTTACAGATATGTGTAACCAAACCAAAGTTAGAGTGTTCACCAAGTTTTTAACCCATGTAAGCAGCTCAAACAAAATATCATATTATGCAAGCAAAAGAAACCAGAAGTAAATTCATCAGAAAATACATACCTCAGAGGCAGAATGTAATTTCTGCAGAAAAAGAGCATTCAAACCAGGACACTTGTCCTTACACAGAAATAACTTTCCAGAAGAGACAAAAATGTTTTAATCTCAGGAGGAATGTAAGTTATTTTTTTAAAAAGGAGGCCTTACAACAAACAGAAATCTCAAATCAAATCAAAATACTTCTACCAATAAGGGGAGCTTTGTCTTGAGAGAGACTTCCCAGGGCAGAAAGGGCAAGCCATAGAACCAGAAACCTGGAAGGGTACAATTGAGTACTGTACACTGATTCCAAGATTTGCCAAGTCCTTCAGATAGTGTTCTTCTTTCAGGTCCCACTTCTGAACACAGAATTGTTTTTAGAAAATTATTCTTGCCTACAAGGATCAATAGCAAGCGTAATGCCTCTCCAAGACTGGATAAGCAGTTGCTGGGCAGATATCCTTCTGAAAGCATTTTGTAGGTAAAGTTGTGATGGTCTTTGTGCAAGGTTGTGGTTTTGCCAGAGTCTTTTGTGATAGTTATGGTTATCATGCATTAAGGTGTGAGAACCTCTCTTCATAGCTTTCCCTGGCTCTATTAGTCCTTTTTTTAAAACACAACTGACTATGTTTTGATTCTGACAAGTTTCACAGTAAAAAACTTAGAACTTATTAATTTTTCTATTTGTAACATACTAAATTCCATTTCGCCTGAATTTTTGTTTGTTTGTTTGTTTTGAGACAGAGTCTCACTCTTTCACCCAGGCTGGAGTGCGGTGCTGAGATTTCGGGTCACTGCAACCTCTGCCTCCTGGGTTCAGGTGATTCTTGTGTCTCAGCCTCCCAAGTAGCTAGGATTACAGGTGTGAGCCACCATGCCCAGCTAATTTTTGTATTTTTAGTAGAGATGGGGTTTCACCATATTGGCCAGGCTGGTCTTGAACTCCTGGCCCTCAGTGATCCGCTCACCTCGGCCAAAGTCATTTTTATATGATCAGTGTAGTATAACTGGATTAAATTGAAAACCTGGGCTCTGATTATTTTTACTAGGAAGGTCACTTCACCTTTTAGATATAACAAAAGCACACTTTCTTGCAGGAGAGAGAATCTTTAAATGCATTCAAATGATATACAGTCTATATCAAGGGTAATATTTAGCTAGCATATTTAGCTTTTACATTCCCAAACTCTGTACTAATCAATAAAAATTTAGCCCTGCATTACATCATCCAATGAGCACTTTCTGCAAACCTGAGCTAGGTTCTGCATAGTATTTGTAGCATTTGCATTTGTAGTTCAGTCTCTATAAATTTTTGTTTATTATTTTGTAAACGTATATAACATCTATTCATTAATAATCATGAATTTTTAAATATTTTCATAAATAACATATGTTAATGTATTTTCTAACTCTTGCCATTCCTGACAGTCTTGCTTACATGGTTACCCTTTTCACACTTATTGTACTTGTTAAATATTTCAAAAAATGTATTAACAATTAGCCTGTATTTAATAGTTTTTTGGTCTACTATTTTTAAATATGAATTAACATTTTGTGATAGGCAGCCTCTAAGATGGCCCCAAATGATTCCCATCTGATAATATTTGTGCCCTTGTGTAACAACATTCTCTTGCATGTAGGCTGGGTCTAGTGACTTACTTCTAATAAATAGAATACCAAAAAAGTGATGAGATGTGGCTTCCTAGATTAGGTTATAAAAGACTGTGACTTCTGTCTTGCCAGCCCTCTCTCTGGCTTTAAAATTTGGCTTGCACTGATGAAGCATGTTGCCATGCTGTGACATGACCTATGGAGTGACCAACTTAACAAAAAATAACTTGTGGCCTCTATTTAAACGGCTCAAAAGAAACGAAATACTTCCAGTAACAACTGAGTAAGCTTAGAATTGGGTCCTGTCCACTCGAATCTTGAGATGATTGGGATTTAACTGATACTTTATGTGCAATCTTGTGAGAGATCTTTATACAGGGATTCAAGTAAGCAGCGCCAAATATCAAGCCCAAAGAAACTGTGGGATAATAATTGCATGTTGCTTTGAGTCACTAAGTTTGGGTGTAATTTGTTATACAGCAATAGATTACTAATACATACTACATATATCCAAAGAGTGTAACAATTTCAGTTCTTAACTCTACAAGTAAAGTGACATACATCTTCTCAGAAATCACCCAAAGTCTTAATATAAAATATTAAACAGGAAAAAAACTACATCTTCACATGTTAGTGGGGACATCAATTTTGCTAATTCACAATATGTAAGAAAATGCTACTAAATATATAGATATTCAGACAAAATTACAAAAAGAAGGCAAAAACAAGTTTTCAGCAGCAATAAAGATTAAAAAGAAGATAGCAAGAGACAATTTTCTAAAATAGGCAAAACTCTTACTGATTATATCCAACGATAATTTTTACAGATTTCATAGGCTAGCAAAGAGCTCTTCTTTGACTCAGCTTGATACCAAAGTAGCAGATGTGGCTCTCGAAGAAGAATCAACCAGCACTTACTTGTAAAGTGTGGCCTGTTCATGTGTCACAGTGGTATAGAAAGAATCCGCATTGAAAGACTTGTAGCTGCCAATTTTAGTTGACTAGAAGGAAGTAAAGACTAAGAAAACCAACATAATTTAAAATCCCTGTATCACCATAAACTTCAATGTGAACCAGAGAGATTTCCTTTTAATTTATAATATGATTTTGATTACTATCCACAAATAACCTTCTAAAAAGTTCTTCCAGAAAGAAATTATTTATCCAAAAATGTGAAATTTTAAACTGAAAAAAAAGGAAAATCAAAATAGAGAGGGATTTGAAGGAAGAGGGTGGCAGACAAATAGAACTCATCTCAACAAAAACTACTTGACGTAGTAATATACCCAGGTAAAAAACCTGCAGATGCACCTCCTGAATCTAAAATAAAAGTCAAAAGCAAATCAAAAGAGAAATTAACTCTGACAATCCTAACATAAGAAAGGATAATAAACTAAGTGGAAAATATAAAATCAGTCATGGGAGGACTATTTAAAATTGTAAGGTGTACTTCTGATTTCCAGTCCATCATGTAGGGACCTCAGAAGTTGCCCCTACATCTAATAGGTAAAAAGCTGATCTGAAAAATTGGGAACTTTTCTTAAATCCATCAGAGAAGTTAGAACACCGTAATGGTAGACACATGTCATTATATATTTGTCAATACTCATTGAATGTAGAGTATGCAGTGTGAACCCAAATATAAAATATAAACTTTAGGTTGATAGAGATGTGTTAACATAAATATATTGGTAAATGCATCACTGTGTTGTGGGATGTTGATAGTAGGGGAGATGGTGCCTGTGTGCAGCAGTGAGCATATGGGAATCCTAGTAGTTTCTGCTTAATTTTGCTGTGAATTTATAATGGTACTAAAATATAAAAGTTATCAATGAAAAATGCAATAAAATAAATGGTACAAATTTTAGTATATGATATGGTTTAAATCTGTGTTCCTATGCAAATCTCATGTTGAATTATATATAATCCCCAATGTTGGAAGTGGGGCCTGGTGGGAGGTGATTGGATCATGGGGACAGTTTCTCATGGTTTAACACCACCCCTCTTGGCACTATCATTGCAATAGTGAGTTCTTGTGAGATCTGGTCATTTAAAGGTGTGTAGCATCTACCCCCACTCTTTCTTGCTACTGCTCTGTTCGTGTAAGATGTGCCTGCTTCCCTTTTTGCTTCCACAATGATTGTAAGCTTCTTGAGGCCTCCCTAGAAGTCAAGCAGATGCCAGTATCATGCTTCCTGTACAGCCTGCAGAGCCATGAGCCAATTAAACCTCTTTTCTTTATAAATTACCCAGTCTTAGGTATTTCCTCATAGCAGTGCGAGAACAGACTAATACAGTCTATAAAGATAAATTAGCAGATATGAGGATCTGATGGCTAAATTGCATAGCTTTAACATATAAACAATAAATACATAAAAGTAAAGAGAATATTTGGAGAAATAGAATCATGTTTATTCAGTAAGTGATAGATGATTAGATAGGAAAATATAAATTGGAAAGAGAGCATTTTCATTTTCAAGATTATATTTACTGTTTGCCAAAAACAGACAAGTATTAGAACATAAAGAAAATTAACATGTAATTATTGCCAAGTGTAGCACAAAAGATGTGGTGTTGATATCAATACTTTATTTACTCATATTGATATATAAATTTATAGATATACTATTAATTGTGAGCTGCCAGGAGGCAAGGTGGTTCATTATGACGATGAACCAAACTGAAAGGAACAATCATGTCTTTATTCACTTACTGAAACCGGACATTCAGAGGCAAAAGCAAAAGATGTTGGCTTCCTTCTGTTAAACTTTTCTCAACAGACTGTCATAGGCAAAGGTTGGAAGACATGCAATAAATGTTGGGAAAATTGTTTCACTGCGGAAGAGCCCAAAAACAAAAGGCTTCTGTTTTTTGTTTTCTTTTTCTTTGTTTGTTTGTTTCTGGATCTAGGAAACTTCAAGGAGAAGAAGAGAAAATGTTAGAAATGGATAAGTACTGAATCAAAATAGGGTCAAACTGCCTCAGCCAAGTTCATAAAAATAGGCCTCAAAATGAAGGCATCCGGGCTAGGAGTGCAAATATGTATATAAGCATAGTTGGCAGAGAGCAAAAGTAGTATAAATCTGTGTCAATGCAATTTCCTCCAGAAAATTGTAATGCACTGACTGTGTAGCACATCTGGTCTGGGGAGGGCAGCCTGCCCCCATGAGGTCTACCTCATTATAATATTTTATGGTTGGGCCTAAAAAAATCATACATAGCATTTTGTCCTAGAATGGGACTCTTCCACTGGTAAACAGTGTGCCGCATTTCATAAAATTAATAACATAATCTGAAAAGAAAAAAATTATTACAGGAATATAAAAGATAACTAGCAATTTTTCAGTTATTGAGTCAAAATATATCAACTGTCACTACTATGTGTTTTATTAGTACGGATTAATGCATAATAAGTATGTACAATGGAGCTAGCCTATTCAAAAGACTGATGAGAAGGATGTTTTTATATATATATAAAACATCCTTATATATATAACATTATATATATAAACATATATATTACATTATATATAACATTATATATTATTATATTATTATATATTATTATATATAATGTTATATATAATGTAACATATAATGTTCTATATAAAGTAACATATATAATGTTATATATAACATTATATATACATATATTTATCATTATGCTATGATAATTTTGTACTTTACCATTTCAGATAATTTAGTCAAGATATTCTGAGCCTGGGAGAACAAACACAGCACTAATATTACTAAAATTCAATGATTTCAAAATTTTAATTGTTTCTAGATAAAATGAATAAAATGCTTTACTCCTTAAAAACAACTTTCTTATTATTTTAGAATGTGTACAGCTTATTGAATTGACAACGCAATAACCTATGACAAAATAATTTTTCTCAATTTTAGCATCCAGTATTAATCACTGGAGAGCAGTACAGAGAATTCTTATTTCATTTTGTTTCTCTGTGAACAGAATGATTGAAATGTCAGAGTTTTGTTCTCTTCTTTTCATTTTCTCTTTTTAAAATAACAAATATTTATTATTTTATGATTTCTGAAAGTTAAGGATTCAGAAGAGTATTAATTAATAGTTGTGGCTCAGGGTCCCTTATGAGGCTGCAGTCAAGGTAAGGCCTGAATTTACAGTCATCTGAAGGCTTTTCCAGGGCTTGAGTACCCACTTCCATGATGGCTCGGCTATTAGCAGAAAAGCTTTAGCTTTGGGTTACATGGCCCTGTCAGTGGTGCTATTTGGATATCCTTCAAGTGATTCAAGACAGTAAAATTCAGTTTTTGAAGTCTCATACTCTCTTTTCTGCAATATCTTACTTGTTACACAGGTCAGCAACATTCGTTGTGGAAGAGACCAATACATTATTGTGAATACCAGGAGGCAGAGATCACTGAGGCCTTTTAAAAGGCTGGCTACCACAGGGAAGTGCTATCTTCTACTTTCTTATTTGGTTTATGAAATCTCCCAGATGCTCATTTATTTCCTTCCCCTTCCAGGTGGCTGTAATGAAATGACCCTCAGAGTGACCTCGGACCCACATGTTGAATGTGGTGGCACCTTCATTAGCTTGGGTCCTGAATTTTGTTATTTTATTTATCAGTATTGTTACAATAGGTGTCAGAAAAAATATGTATATAATCTAAAATTACTTTTTAAAATCAGATAGCTTATTTATATCACAATAACCATTTTTTTACTCATTTCCTGACTGTATTCTGACATTGTTTTAAAATTATTTTAGTATAATATTTGACTTTTATTGGGCAAAACATGTTTGATCACTGTGGGAATTTAAGTTAGCAAACATGCAAAGATGAAGAAGTAGGGTCATCTCCCCATCCAAATGGAATCCCTTGGTGCAAAGTAAGGTTAATTAAGATGAATATACAAGGTCAAAAATTTAAACACCTTGGACCATATAAATCAGATATCAAAGCCAGGAAATATAATTAAAACAACAAAGCAAAGAAGTCAAAATAAGTGGAGTGGATTTAGATTGGGTCTTATTGACATTGCATGGTAAGGGTCAGACTGTGGAAAGGTTGTCAATGGATCTTGAGCCTGTAGAATATGAGAGGTATCCTTGTAGGCATGGATAAACATGTCTAATCAAACAAGAATAAACCAGTGCCAGAGTTTGAGGAAGAAAAATGGTGTCAGAACTGACAGCTTTGTCAAAAATGCAAGGCCAAACATCCAAGTCAAAGCAGTTAATTTAGGCTTCAGTAAACTTCTCAGATCCAGACACAATGCAAACACAGATAAAAGTCAAAACCAAAAATATACATGTCTGTTTGAAAATAACGTAGAAGAGCAAAGCAAAATGGTAAGGAGGACAAACAAAGGAAACTATCAAAATGATTAAGGAGCATATGAAAAAGCATCTACCTCATTAGTTACCAACAAACACAAAACAAACCCTCATCTAGACAGCATTATAATATTATAATGGCTAAAATTGAAAATGTAAAATACTGACCATAACAGATGCTAGAGAATATGTGAAGCATTAGAGATTACTATGCACTACTGGTTGAGGTTTTAAATTAGTACAACTTGGTGAGAAAATAAAAGTCAAGATTTTTTGAAGAATAAAATATGTGAAATAATTTAATTAGATTAATTGTAGGTTTTTAGAAAAGAAACTTTGTCAACATATGCTAAATGCTATAATAGTCTCCAAAATTGCAGTAGGTTAACACTTTGGAGTAATATTCTGTAGCAAAACTTTCTGCAATGAGAATATTCTATATGTTATATTAACTCAGCCTCAACTTGCCTCTGTACTTTGAATCTCTATATAGAAAATTGTAACTTAATTTAGTATGTAAACAAGTTGTATACTAATTTAAGGTTATATTTTCTTTAGAGTAACAAATAGCAGAGTCTTAGCCAATCATAGCAGCTAAGCTTCAGCCAATCCCAGGTTGTCAGTCAATCAAATCATGTCCATATAAAACAAATGCCTCAGTATACCATGACCAAGTAAAGCAAATATTGAGGTGTAACCAATCTGTCTATATATCACTTCCTTTTTCCGTCTATAAATACCGCTTGCACGCATTGCTGAGTGGAGCTTTCTGAACTTTTCCTAGTTCTGAATGCTGCCCAATTTGTGAATTATTCTTTGTTCAAGGAAACTCTGCTAAATTTAATTTGTCTAAAGTTTTACTTTTGACATATATATGTGTGAGTGTATAATATCTGTATATATTCTGTCTAATATGTTAGCCACTTGCTAGCTATATGTAGCTACTGAGTACTTGAAATGTGGCTAGAGTGGTTGTGTAACTAAAATTTCAATATTATTTAATTTTAATACATTTAAATTTAAATTTTAGTACCTAATGTGGCTAGTGGCTACTGTATAAGACAGCAAAGTGTTAGAATATGATTTCCTACCTACCTAACACTTCAAAACAATTATTTGGCACCTGCATTCCACACTATGATATAGAGACGAGGCTCAATGCATCTTATGATTATTCGACTCTTTGTGATATGATATATCCTTTAATCAAGCATCTTTATCTTGCACATAAACAGAGAAATAAAAGATCATACATGGGAACTTGTTTATCATCTAAGACTCAGAATGGCACACATCACATCTTCTCACCATCCATTGGTCAGAACATGATTATACAACCATACCTTGCTATAAGAGAGGCTGGGAAATTACAGGTTAGTAATTATGCCCAACAGAAAAATGAAATACGTCTTGGTAACACATAGTAGTGTCTCTCACAGACAGCGTGGTATTAGAAAGGCAGTATAACCTGAAAAATTGAAAGCCCAACTCTGGATTCAAATGTCTGGGTTCCAACTTGCTTTACCATGTACTCTGTCATCTTAGAAAAATTATTTAGAATCTCTCCCTCTCAACTGTTAACCAGGGATAATGTGAATCCTACCTGTAAGAGTCTGTTTCTTTCCACCATAGCCTGGTTAACTGGTAGGAGGTATAGTAAAAATAAAGGTATTTTCTAAATGTTGGTTAAGTACATAGATATTTAGGGTAAAAAAAAGTTCCAACCTCCTAAGTGGTTATAAAATTAAATGATTATGCCTGTAGTTCCAGCTACTTGGGAAGCTGAGGTGTGAGGATCACCTGAGCCTGTGAGATTGAGGTTGCAGTGAGCCTGGTGGTGTCACTGCACTTCAACCTGGGTGACAGAGTAAAACCCTGTTTCAAAAAAAGGAAAAAAAAGATTAAGTGGTTAAATATTTATAAAGTACTTAGGACAGCATCTGGTACCTTTACCAAGTTAAATTACCATTTTATTATTACTATTTTTAGTCTCATGATAGACAAACAAATGGGTAAGATTAGAGAGCCCAGAACCAGAAGATAACATAGGTATGGAAACTTTTTAAATGACAAGTGTAAAATTAAATGTCAGTAGCTATTTTGAGACAATTGGTGATACATAAAGAGAAATAAATTTAGATTCATTCAACATGCCAAAAGTGAAATAAACTTAAATGGCTTACAATAATCAATATAGAGACAAAACTCAATGTAAAATGTAAAAATTTTAGACAATTTACTTGGTAAATAGAAAAAGTTTTCTTTGACATAAAGCAGAAAAAAATTGTAATATAAAGATTGATTAATTCAATTGCTATTTGATGAAATTAATTAAAATCCAGCAGGCTTACACTCTTTTACCTGGGGATTTTATTTCTACATATATTCTCTAGAAAAAGCCACAAATAGGCACAATAACTTACATGCACTTGTTTTCCATTATAGCATAGTTTATGAGAAAAAATTCAAATAGCTTAAATGTCCATCAACAGTTTTTGAATAAATATATGTTGAAATATCCATCCAATGGAATTCTACTGAGGAATTAAAATAAATCAACTAGTACTATATATATTAACTTGGTACCTAAGAAAGGTACCATGAAATGAAAGAAACAAAATTTAAGATGGCATATTAGGTAAGAATCATTTATGGAAAGATTTAGATATGCATAACAATATCAGATAAGGTTTATGTAAAAGTGTGTAAACACGCATGGGATACTGAACTCTGAATTCATTATAAAAACGACTTGGGGAAAGGGAGAAATTATCATGGGGTTTGACATGATGCAGAGGGGCCTTTGAAGAATTAATAAAAATAATCTGAATAAGACACTACATGTTGTGTAGATTAATAAGGCTGAGCATATTATTCTTTTCTACACATTTAAATTAGCCTCCACAATAGAAAATGATTCAAGGCCAAAAACAAGTGCAAGAAATGATACATATCCAAATGACATCATAGAGTATTTGACTGTTCAAAGACAAACATCACCAGTGCAAAGTCTCCACCCCTCTTAAGATCCTACTACCCTGAGTAGGATTAGGATTAGGAGAAAAATGTAAATGGAATTCTGATTCCCAGATTTCATTAGCACAAAATGTGCTATCTCTCTATCATCTATCTGTCTTAATTATTGTTTACTAGATATCTATATTCAAGAAAGACAGGTGTTAACAAGAGACAAAAGTCAGAAACATAATGTTGAAATCAAGTCTTATATAAGGACTATGATTCATTTTAAATAATCCCTTAATGTTCATGCCATTTTATTCATAACTGTTTGTATTCTATTTTAACCTTTTTTATGACTTACTAAATCTCAATAGTATAGACTCCTAAGTAAAAGGTCACCTAAAAAAAGGCTCTCAAAAACATGTTTACTGAATGCATTATAATAAAAATCATGGGTTACATAAAATAATCTAAAGGTCATATCGCTCACCATAATTCCATTAATATCTTATCTAACCTGCACATTTAAAATACCTGGAATTGAAAATTCAAAATGTTTTCCCAGTTGTCAGTTTATAGAAATATACTCTCATCAAGGTAGCATCATCTTCAATCAAAAATATCTCAAAAGAAAATAGTAGTTTAATGAAAATTTGGAAAAAAGTAAAACAGATATCCAAATAATGCTTAACATTAATTAATTAAGGCAAAAATATGAACTCCCTTACATGCGCACAAACAAAAATTTTAATTTCTTTAATTCACTTCCAAGTTTTTTCTTTTGGAACTTCTACTAGTCTATTTTTCTAAAGGTTATTTCAATTTAATTGTTTATCTTTTTAAGCAGGAGAAAAAGTAATAAAACAATAAAATGTATTTATTTATAAGATGTATCTACATTACATGTCTAAAGTTAGAGCTAGATATTTAACTTGGAAAATTTTTCTATTATTTTCTAATCCACATATCAGCATAAAATTAGGACATCTCATTTATTATTTCTAACATTTATAATATGCACAGTTTACTAATAAAATTTCAGAATGTATAAAAGAGAAGTACTATTTAACACAACAATGAGAAAAAAATTATGCTTTAGCAGCCCTCCAGAATTGCAGAAATCAGAATTCAACTGGTTTTACATTACAGTAGAATATTTTACGGAAATAAATATTAGTCTACATAAATCTCTAATGAGTACATTACAATCAGCAGTGTATAGTCATGAAAATAAAATGTTATTGATGTGCCTATTGACTATGAATGTAATGATAGAAAAGAGGTATTTAGAATCCACCAAAGATTAATAATTTTTGAAAAATTCACTAAATGTAACTTTCAAACAGCAGTCTTTGAAGTTCAGATATTGAAAATAGTGTACTTGTCAAAGAAGACAGTCGAATATATTAGTACTAAATAAGAGACTTAATCTCATTTGTTAGTGGGAATACTTCAGTCTTCCTTTATAATCACTCTTGATTCTGAAGGGTAAAAAGAATGCTCAGATATGCAAATTTGGAAGGGCTAGCTAGGCATGCTTATCTTATCTCGAGCCTCTTTTTTCTTGCAGTTAAGTACATATAGATGGAGATCCTGCTTTGCTCTGCTCCAAAAGGGCAAATCCATATTACATCAAGTGACACTTTTTGAAGGTGGATAAATATATTTAATTCTAATATGTACTTAACAGAACCATCTGGCTGCCTCATTATGTCCTTCTACCTGATCTCTGTCAAAACTGTATTTGACATTTCCATTTTTATCTTGATTCCTTAGGTATATTTCTCATATCTAAAGAGCATGGTTGAAATTGAGAGATGCCATGTATTGGAGACGACTTCAGGGACTGCAACACTGCTCAGTCATAAAAATTCACCTCATGATTTTATAAAGTGTAATTACCTGTTTCCTAAACTCATTTCTTAATTTATTTTACTAATAAGGGATGGAAAACAGCTTTTATAATTGCAACATCATTGATTTGTCAGTTCCGGTACTAATATAATCTATACATATTTCTAAATGTATGGGAGGCAAGCAAAAAGGATCTTGGCCCAGTAGAATGTTTGAGTACCATTAGTTTTCTAATGATAATTTAGAACAGAGTTCAGTAAACTATGGCCTGGGGGCTAACTATTGCCAGTCTCCTACTTTTGATGCTAAATTCTTATTGGAACAGAGGTACATTCAGTAATTTGTTACTAGCACTCCAGTGTGAAAAGGAAACCTATGTAACTGAAATAAACACGCACACACACAAAACATGGGATAGAAAATAAGTCCTGGAAGGAAAGCCTGAAAATAAAGTAATTTTTGTTTGACCACTTTCATGCTGCAATGGCAGAGTTGAGGAGTTGTGACAAATAAAATATGGTCTGCAAGCCATAAAATATTTACTCTATGGTTCTGTATAAAGAAAGTTTGCTGACCTCTAGTTTAAAAGAGCAACCTAAAGACAGAAAGAATAAGTGTTCTGTGTGGACTGTTGTTTTTGTGAGATATCTTGTTTACTTACATTCTGCCTGGCCTATGTTCTTGCTTGCTAATTTGTATGGTAGACTCATTGATAAATCTCTATAATATCAGTTGTACTAAGAGGTTTTAATGTATCCTTTATGTTTCAAGAATAATTGGGTTTACACAGTCTATATATTTTAATCATATACAAATGGGAATATATTTTCTGAAGTCACTAGTTTGTCTTCAATGGTAGGTAAACCTAGACTGCTGACATATTAGCTGGTGGACAGTAATTAGTTTAGAAAGTTAATCAATTGTGCTGAGGGCTGAAAAGGTGAGGTGTGCTTGCAATTTAGAATGGTATTTGTTTTTTGTATATAATTATTTTTTGTTGGTGCAACCAAATCACACATCCAACAAAGCTAGCTATTCTTTTTTTAATGTGAATGATTGTATGCTGAAATAATCTATGGATGACAAGTCAACCTCCCAGAATAAGGCAGTATTTTCCAATAGAGTTTCACAATATCCTACCCAAATTAACTTCAATTAAATTCCATTGCTACAAATGCCATGAGTGTGAAGTTGGCCAAATAAAATTTATTAATCAATGCTACCTAGAGAAGTCCTCTATTAATGACAAGTTTTTTAAAAAGGACATCTTTGGCCAGGCAGTGGCTCACAACTATAATCCCAGCACTTTGGGAGGCCAAGGTGGGTGGATCACCTGAGGTCAAGATTTCAAGACCAGCCTGGCAAACATGATGAAACCCCATTTCTATTAAGAAAAATAAAACTGCAAAAATTAGCCAGGCGTGGCGGTGCATGCCCGTAATCCCAGCTACTCAGGAAGCTGAGGCAGGAAAATAGATCTAACACAGGAGGCAGATGTTGCAATGAGGTGAGATCAGGCCACTGCACTCCAGCCTGGGTGGCAGAGTGAGATTCCGTCTCAAAAAAAAAAAAAGGGGGGAAAAACATCGTTAATAAATGTCACATTAATGGATTTCTTCCATAACATGCTGTATACCTCAAAGAATACTGCCACTAATTTGACTACAGCTTCTGGTGCATTACTAGTGAATAAACTCCAAAATAGAAACATTTTCCATTTTTAATCAACTTTATTGAAGTGTAACTTACAAACAATAAAATGTACTTATGTTTAGAGTCGGTGAGTTTTGATAAATGTGTATACCCACATATTGATATAGATACAGACCATTTTCATCACCTACAAATTTTACTTCTGTTTCTATGTTATTAATCTTCCTACCTCCTTTATAGTCCACTGTGAGTAGTGGCTTTTTGTCATTGCAGTATAGGTTTACTAGGATTTCCATATGGGAATTTCTTTCCAGAGTTTTGCACACAGACATATATACATACACATGCACACTTATATATATATATATCTATATGTATATTCTTATATGCATGTAACAAATATACATATATTCTTATATGCATATAACATACATATATACATATGTTTTATGTATTTGTTTTATATATAAAACAAATCCCAAATTTCAATAAAAAATAAAACTAGACAAGTCAGGAAAGGAGAAAGAATATAATTCTGCTGTGAAAGTTAGTAATTAGTCAACATAGATATATTATTAGTGGAGTCAAATGATACGCAAAATGAAAATAAGAGGCAGAAATGCCAAGAGGCAGAATCCAAAGTTAGGCTGACATTTCAGGGATCAAAGTTAGAGCAGGTGAAAGAGAAGAAGTCATGATGTAATCAGTCAGTTTTGCTTGTAGTTTTTTGCCATACTATAAATGGGTTTGTTGCCTTTTCTGCTGTTAAAGGGGAACCATTCTTAAAGATCAAAAAATCTTTACAAATTTTAATCTTAGTAGAGTTTATACAAATCCAAAGAATAGTATTAGAAGATATAAATTTTGGAAGCAAAATAAGTCTTTATACTGGCGATTTTAACACGTGATTCTGTGCAGTGCTTGTAATTTTTCTAGATCAGAATGCTATGCTATTCAAATACTCTAAAGTCATAAAGATTACATAACCTTGACACTCAACTCCACAGAGTATAATAGAGAAAATGAAATCTATAAGCCATCTCACTTATGAGATAAGACACCAAAATTACCAGCAAAATACTAGCAAATGGAACTCAGCAATAGATTTTTAAAAAGGACATTATATCATGTTGAATCTGGGTTCATATTATGATTAGAATGTGAATGAACAGTAGAAATTAAAGTAGCAGAAAATTCATCTGACAAACTTAGTTTTGCAGAAAAATAACTTGATGCAATTCAATGCTTATCTATAGTTTAAAAATTCTTTCAAACAGAATTTAAAATTTGCTAGCATGCATGCACTTTTGTATTTCTTTTATTGCCAAGAGAAAAGCTTCCCATGGGTAATTCTGGCCCTTCAGTACAGGGCCCAGAATAAGAAAGGTTTAGCAAAGTTGCTCTACCACAGTCCAGCTGAGCTTACCTAAAGATATCCATCTATCACAACATGAATTTAAAATGAATGTATAATTTTTCTGTTTCACCAGGAGTTAATGATTGATTATTGTGCAGCAAAACCTGATAGATATTTTTATTTCTCTTCCATCCTTCTTCAACATCAAAATTCCTTTTAATTCTTATCATCATTGTGTTCCCCTCCTTGTGAATGGATGCATTGTAAATATATACTAAGATTACCACAATATTTTGCATAACAGACCCTTTTGCTTTGTCCTCTCATTTGTCACTCTCCTTTATTTCTGCTCTTTATACCATGTAATACATAACATGTTATTTTGAAATATATAATTTAGAAGGTATTTCTATTAAAGTATTTTCATTCAGTGGGTGGTAAATGGTGTCTAGGGAAATTGCAATGAGTTAAAGTAGAGTTCCTTGTATAATGTATTATATATTATATAACTAATTTTACTCTCCTTAAAATAAATATTTTCCCAAAATAATCAAATATCAATTTTGAATAAGATTCTTTTGTATAAATGTATTTCACATATGCTCATACTGGGATTAATTATACATCATAAGAAAGAAAATAAACTAATTTGATGTTTTTAAAATCAGTATAGATTTTGCACCATTTAAATTATAAATTTGACATAAGTAAAAAATGACAGAGACTGTGAAAATGGCTGTGAGATTCCACAATGGTCTGACAGTTTTGAGAGGTCTCAAATAATTTATAATTTGATTCATGTGCTGCTTTCTTAAGAGTGCATTTAAATTTTTTATTCACAGTTTTATGAGAAAATTAATTATTAATTTATTTTTATATATTGATCATATTTTAATATAATGATCAAAAAAGACTGCTCAAACAGATCATTATAAAAAACTTTCAACCATATATACATCTTCAATGATGTTTCTTTCCCTCAAGTCTGCTCTTGTAATAATTTTAATGCGTTTTTATTTCTTTAGTGAATCCTAATAATATCTTTTCCTTTTTTTAGGTATTTTATATTACATATTCTTAGAAACATCCATTATACATTTTTTAATAAATAAATTTAAACTAAGAAACCAAACTCTCCATATATCTCAATATAATAAACAAGTATCTACTCTGTCCCCAGTGTCTCAGCTATTGTTCAAGGGGTGATGTACATAACCCAATGAATAACGTTCCAGTTCTTTACCCACTGTGTTTATAATCTGTAGTAAACTTACACACTAGAGGCATTATACAATCATAATTAAGGGAATAGACAAAGAGACCATGCTTGAATTTTGCCTCTGAGACTCATAGCTGAGTGATAGTGAAAATGTTTCTTAAATTTCCTGCACTTAAGTTTCTTCAAAAATAAAATGAGGATTATTTTGTGAATTAAATACAATAATATGGTAAAATAACATAAATCCTATTTGAGTGCTTTTATTACTGAGACAGATAATTAACATAATACATAATTTATAATTATATTTAAAGTTTAGAAGCATCAAAGTTGGCGGTAGGACTATAATTTTTTAAGGTATCCAGAGTAGACCTCATCAAGAATATGTAATTTAATCAAAAACGGATGGAGGTGAGCTATGTGGATATGTAGGGGAAGATCATTCTAGAAAAAGGGAATAGCCATTGCCAAATCCTCAGCTGTATTTGAGGAACACTAAGGAGTACAGGACACAACCATAGTGAGCCAGAGAAAAGACAGTAAGAGGTGAAGTCATGGGATTACTAAAATCCCAGACACTGTAGGGCCTTGGAGACCATTAAAAGATGTATGGTTTTTACTCTAGTATGTAGAGAATTACTGGAGGATATTTTGTGAGGAAGCAACATGATATCATTAATGTTTTAACTAGATAATGCTGTCAATTCTGTGAAATCGAATGTAAGGGAAGCAGAAAGAGTAATTAACAACCATAACAATAGTCCCCACGAACATTTATGGAGATCACAGAGGAGACTTTGTCACTGAAATGCTGAGAAATGGTCATCTTCTGGAATAAATATTTATTTTGAATTTTTCAGATCAGCCCTTAAAAGTAACTCTAAACAATTGCGAGAATTAAACAACAGAAATAATATAAAAAGAACCAAATGAATATTCTGTAGCTGGAAAATTATAATAATTAAGACAAAGATCTTTATGAATCTTTAATCAATATAAGTAACTAAAAGAGCAGGTACTGTACTGGATTTAGCCAAAAGCCTGAGAAGTGATAGTAAATGAAGGAGAATGAGCAAAAAGGGAATGTGAGAAGAATGTATCCAGATTAAATTATGGAAAAACAAAAATAAAATGTACGTACAGAGAAAAGACTAAAAATCATATGAGATAATACAAAAATGTCTAACACACCTGAAAATTAAATACCAGGGACAGAGAAGTTAGAGAAAATGCAGAAATTATGTTTCGAGGAATAAGGGCTGATAATATTTGAAATCTGGTGAAAGACGGCAAACTACAGGTACAATTAATATTACAATATGTAAGAACAATATCAAGCATACCTAATCTGAACACACTGAATGAAAAAAAGTTAGAGAAAAAACAAAATATTTCCTCAATGGAGCAACGGGAAGACAGCTATCTTTAATAGAAAGTTTAGAAGCCCCCCAAAAAAATAAATTATCATCAAAATTCCCCTAAAAAGTAATTGGTAGTCATCAGAAATATTTCTCTATTTAGGAGAAATTGGTCTATCAAAACTTTCTTTTTCAAAAACTATTGCCAATTTTGATAACTATATTTTATAAGAAAATTATCCATTTTATCTAGCTTTTCAAAACCATTTGCATTGAATTGCACAAAGTAGTTTTGTTCGAAATTTTGCTTCTCTTTCAATCATTTTCTTGGCATTGGTTTCATTTTGTATATTACAATTTCTATATATTTATATGTATATTTATACATTTCTATATATTTATATATATTTAAATTAAGATTCCTTGTGGTTTGTGTATACATTTTAATTTGGTCAAGAATCCAGCATTTTGATATATTAATTAATTCATTTGTTCTCATTCTACCTCATTAATTTCTGTGTAAATTTCTAGCAAAATTTAGGCTTTATTATCAAGAAGTTTTTTGTCATTTTCTTTATTTCCTGGTTTTCATCAATTCTCTTTAAAATTCAACCTGTATTCTGTCAGTTTTCCTTTTTTTAAATTAATTTGTTTATATATATATATAAATGATTGTTCTGGAAAAGTTATTTTAAGCTAGAACATGTTAGAATTATGTTCTGTGTGGTTGCTTGTTTTGGGTGGGGAGATTTTTTCATGAACTAAAATCATTTTTTGTTATTTTAATTTTTAAAATAGTTCTGTATAAATATTTCCTCCTATTTTTTATTCATTTCTTGTAAAATTTGATCCTGTATAAAAAGTAATTGTTATATACAGAAGAAATGAGGGGTTGCAATGGCTAATGAGCTTTCTTTACAGTAGGGAAGGAGTTCTTTCATGTGTCTTCTGATTTTCCAACTCTCTGTGTTTCTGCAAGGCCTTTGGCCTCCTCTTGTTACCTTTTTTCTTTTGTCAGCCAAATATGTAAGGCAACTTCTTCCAAGTTGTCACCTTCTTTGCTCTAAATTATTTATTGTGCAAGATCCAAGAACCCTCTCTTGGAGTCTGGAGTGGGACCCCTTTCCTTTAACAACTATATGCCAATAAACTGGAAAACCTAGAAGAAGTAAATAAATTCCAAGACACATACAACCTATCAAGATTGAACATGAAGAAATCCAATACCTGAATACATCACTAACAAGTAATTAGATCAAAGCCATAATAAATATTCTACCAGGAAAGAAAAGCCCAGGACCCAGTGGCTTCTGTGTTAGTTTGTTCTCAGGAAGCTATAAATAACTACCTGAGACTGGGTAATTTATGAAGAAGAGAGATTTAATTAACTCGCAGTTCTGCAGGCTTAACAGGAAGCATGACAGGAAGGCCTCAGGAAACCTATAATCATGGCAGAAGGTGAAGGAGAAGCAAGCACTTTCTTCACATAGTGGCAGGAGACAGAGAGAGAGAGAGAGAGAAAAGGGAAAAAATGCCACACACTTTCAAACAACCAGAACTGATGAGAACTCACTCACTATCATGAGAACAGCAAGAGGAAGTTTAACCAACGATTCAATCACCTCCTACCAGGCTCCTGCCCCAACATGTGGAGATTAGGATTCAAGATGAGATTTGCGTGGTGACACAGAGCCAAACCATATCAGCTTCACTGCTGAATTTTATAAAACATTTAAAGAACCACGTATCCTAGTTAAACTATTTCAAATAATAGTGGTGGATAAAATACTTCCAAACTCATTCTACAAGGCCAGTATCACCCTGATATCAAAACCAGATAAAGTTACATTAAAAAAAAAGAAAACTACAAGCTAAGATCTCTAATAAACATAGATGCAGAAGTCCTCAAGAAAATACCACCAAACTGAATTCAACAACACATAAAAAGCTCATTCATCATGCATGACCAAGTGGGATTTATCCCAGGAATGAAAGGATAGTTTAACATATGTAAATCAGTCAGTGTGATACATGCATGATATTAACAGACTGAAGTACAAAAACCATATGATCAAATGCTTTTTCCATGCTGAAAAAGCATTTGATAATATCTATCATGTCTTCGTGATAAAAGTTTTATAAAGTAGGATATAGAAGGTACAATCTTCAACACAATAAAAACTATATATGACAGACCTACAGCTAGTATCATACTGAACAGGTATAAACTGAAAGTCTTTCCTCTAAGATCAAAACAAGACAAGAATTCCCACTTTACCACAGTTATTCAACATGGTAGTAGAGATATTATCTAGAGCAACCAGACAAGATAAAGAAAAAAACAGCATTCAATTGGAAAGGAAAAAGTCAAATTGTCCTTGTTTGCAGATAATATATTTCAAAAAACCTAAAGACTCCACCAAAATACTGTTAAAACTGATAAGCAAATTCAGTAAAGTTTCAGAATACAAAATCAGCATACAAAAATCAGTAGCATTTCTATATGCCAGCAGTGCACAATCTGAAGAAGAAAGCAAGAAAGTAATCCCATTTGCGATGGCTACAAAAAATAAAATCACTAGGAGTAAACATAACCAGAAAAGTGAAAGATTTCTAGAATAAGAATGTAAAACATTAATGCAAAAAAAGAACACAAAACAATTGAAAGATATTTTATGTACATGGACTGGAAGATGTCAATATTTTTAAAATATCCGCACTACCCAAAGCAATCTAAAGATTCCGTGCAATCCCTATCAAAACACCAATAATACTCTTCAAAGAAATGGCAAAAATAATCCTAATATTTATATGAAACTACACAAGACCCATAATAGCAAAAGTTCTCCTGGACCAAAAGAACAAAATTTGAGGAGTCACATTACCTGACTTCAAATTATACTTTGGAGATATAGTCACCAAACATCATGGTACTGGCATAAAAACAGACACAGACCAATGGAACAGAATAGAGAACACATAAATAAGTCCATACAACTACAGTAAACTCATTTTCAATAAAGGTGCTGAGACCATACATTGGGGAAAGGAGAGTCTCTTCAATAAATGAGGCTGGAATAATGGGATATCCATAAGCAGAAGAATGAAGTGAGACCCCATATCACTCACCATGTAAAAAATCAAATAATGAACTAAAGACTTAAATCTAAGACCACAAGCTATAAAAGTACTATAAGAAAACATTGGAGGAAACTCTCCAGGACATTGGCCTGGGCAAATATTTCTTGAGTAATACCCCACAAACACAGGCAACTCAAGCAAAAATGGACAAATGGGATCACATCAAGTTTAAAAGTCTCTGCTTAGCAAAGAAAACAATTAATAAAGTGAAGAGACAAGCCAGAGAATGGGAGAAAATATTTGCAAACTACTGCTCTGACAAGGAATTAATAAGCAGAATACATAAGGAGCTCAAACAACTCAATAGGAAAAAAATATAGTAATCCAATTTAAAAATAAGCAAAACATCTGAATTGATATTTTTCAAAAGAAGACATACAAAGAGCAAACAGGTATATGAAACGGTGCTCAACATCATTGACCATCAGAAAAATGGAAATCAAAACTACAATGAAATATCTCACCCCAGTTAAAATGGCTTTTATTCAAAAGACAGGCAATAATGAATACTAGTAAGGATGTGGGGTAAAGGGAACCCTTGTACACTACTTGTTGAAATGTAACTTAGCATAGCTGCTATGGAGAGCAGTATGGAGTTTCCTCAGAAAACTAAAAATAGAATTATCACATGATCTAGCAATCTCACTTCTAGGTGTCTACCCAAAAGAAAGGAAATCAATGTATCAGCAAGATATCTGCACCCTTGTATTTATGGCAGCACTATTCAGAATAGTCAATATTGGGAAGCAACCTAAGCAATCATCAACAGATGAATGGCTAATGAAAATGTGGTACATATACACAATGGAGTACTATTCAGCCATAAAACATGAGATTCTGCCACTTGCAAAAACACAGATGGAACTGGAGGACATTATAAATGAAATAAACCAGGCACAGAAAGACAATCCACATGTTCTTACTTACTTGTGGGAGTTAAAAATGAAAACAGTTGAATTCATGGAGATAGAATGTGGAATGATGGTTACCAGAGGGTGGGAAGCATGGTCAGGGACAGGGAAGTGGGGATGATTAATGGGTATGAAATTAGAGTTAGACAGAATGAGTAAGATCTAATATTTGATAGCACAACAGTGTGATTAGAATCAACAATAATTTATTGTACCTTTTAAAATAGCTAAGAGAGTATAATGGTAAAGTCTGTAACATAAAGAAATGATAAATGCTTAAGTTGATGAATTCTCCATTTACCCTGATGTGATTATTACGCATTGTATCCCTGTGCCAAAATATATCATGTACCCCAAAAAAAGTACACCTAGTACATTCCCATAAAATTTTTAAAATATAAAATTACCTTAAAAAATAGCAAATACTGGAAATTATTCCAACAAAAATGTTTAAGATGCCTATATAGAATACTGTAATACATTACAGAAAGTAATTTTAGATCTTAATAATTGGCATGATTTATCCTGTTCCTGGATTAGAAAACCCTATTATAATTCTCTATCAATTTTACATCAACTGACCTATAAATACAATTTAGTCTCAATCAAAATTATATTGGGATATTGAGTTAAAATTGATAGATATTATTCTAAAATTAATATGCAAAAAATACTATCAAAAAATCTTAAGACAATAGTAGAAGAGTTACATTTTCAGATATTATGACTCATTAGAAACTTGGCAATTAAATTTCATATTATTACAACCATAAGTCAATAGAACAAAACATTTAAAAAAGAGTGAAATATATATAAACATTTAATTTATAAAGTAATTTTTGCATATGCAAGCTGTGTGGACAAACAATAGGCATTTCAATAACTAAAATTGGTAATTAAGTATCTATGTTTTTAAAAGTGATTTTTTTTTTCCTCACACTAGTCACAAAACTTAATTGGATGTAATTCACCTATTTAATATAGCGGAAAAAAATGAAGCCCTTAGAAAATAATATAGAAAAATTTCTTCAAGGATTTGAAGTAGGATTTTCTTTGACCACAGCAGTTCTAATGAAAACCATATGGATTAAAGGTAATTTTGAGTGAACTAAAGAGAAGAACAGAAAATGGGAAATTTGAATTTGAATTGGTAAGTATAAACAAATATTTTGATATTTTACCGTGAATAGAAACAAAGAAGTGGGATAGCAGCTAACAGACAGTCGAGGTCAAGAGGGTGTATTATTAAAGCTGAAGATACCAATATGTCTGCATGTATGCGTGTGTGTAGACTAATACAAATAGTTAATTGAAGATGGAAATCAGTGATTCAAGAGACATTTGGCAATCACAGAAGCAGAGTCACTGTTCAAATTTGAAAAGACAGGATAGATGCTGAAAGGCAGTTTTTCAAAGGAAGAGAAAAGTTTCATGTACTTTATGCAAAAATGAAGTGGGATTCAGATAAGGACAAAAGAGTAGGAAAAATCGGAAAGGGAACTTGGAAAACATTATTAAGTCTCAGAGATGAGGTGAAGAGAACAACTAAACAAAAACCACATTGCTTTGGATAATGTAGTTTAGTTATAAAATTATTAAAAATATTTCTAAGATTTTCAAAATTTTGTCATTTTACGGTGAGGAGTAGGAGTGCATATAAATATGTTAATTATATGGATAGGTTTTTGCTTTATAATTATTTTTGGAATTACAGATGTGTTTTATGCAGTCTTAATGAATTGTATATCTCACAATTTTAAAAAACATATAAATGACTTAGTGTAGAGTGTGGATTATGGTGAATACTTAAGGTTTGCTTTATTGATACTGATGTTTCAGTCTGGTGTAGGGTCTAACCCTTGCTGCTCAGAACCAAAGTAAAGAGTCAAAAATCAACATGGTTAATGGACATAGGTAGTCTGAAAAATATATTACCTAAATTCTTAGCATTCAATTTACAACATGCTACATAAAATTTTAAATTAAAATTTTAAACCATTCTACTTTTTTGTCACAAAATACACATATGTGAAAATACAGTGTAATTCCCTTTCATACGTAAGAAAAAAACAAAAATTTTGTATCTAGAGTATTGATTATATTTAACTCATATAGTCTTTTTGAACTTGTTTCAAAATAATTTTCAGCTTATATGGTCAGATATATGACATTTGTGGCTTATAAACACAATATTATCTTGCCTTTTAAGGAAAATAAAACTTCAGCTAACATTTCTATGTTTTTTTAATGTTAGATGGCAAAATAACTAAAATGGATTTTTCTTTTTTTTTAATTTTCTTTGCCACCTCATTATATGGTGGTGAATTTTGTTAAGACATATGATATTTTTCATTTTTATTTATCTGAAATATATAATGATAAAATATCATCATGCAAAAAATATTTTTCTATTTTTTTAAGTTTTCTCACTTGCCAGAATTTATTGTAAGAAGTATCAGACATTACGTATAATAGTGGGTTTGAAAGAACTAAAATCTCTAATTTTTAACACCTTTTACGTCTGCTGCAGCTTTAACCATGTGCAATTTATGAGCTGTGGACAAGTCTTCGCCCTCAGTGTGTGTCATCAACAGAATCATGTATTCGAAGGGACTCTGAGGTGAGAATCATGGCGGGGGACGGGCAGGGCGACAGTAGGCTGCTGGAGCTGAATTTTCCAGGTTTACACATAACTGAATTACTTCTCCTAACATCTCATTTATATTTCCATAGTGGCTCTGACTTCGAATGTTGTATTTCGTAAGATTAAAGAAAAAGTAACAGATAAAGGAAAGTGGGGTCAAAGTGCTGATTGGTAGAGAAGCGTACATCATGGTCATTCCTTAGACATGTGCTGCCTATTGAAAGCAGGAGTTTGTTTTACTTCTTTGTTAGGAGAAAGCATATTTTTCTGGATTACTTGTCCTGAGGTCTAATAGTAGATAGTAAAGTTTATTTAAGCCTAGGTTGTCTTCTAATATCATGACCTGTGTTTGTTCTTTTTTTTTTTTTTTTTTTTTTTTTTTGAGACAGAGTCTCACTCTGTCACCCAGGCTGGAGTGCAGTGGTGGGATCTCGGCTCACTGAAACCTCCGGCTCCTGGGATCAAGCAATTCTCCTGCCTCAGCCTCCCGAGTAGCTGGGATTACAGACGTGCACCACCATGCCTGGCTAATTTTTGCATTTTTAGTAGAGACGGGGTTTCACCACGTTGGCCAGGCTGGTCTTGAACTCCTGACTTCAAGCAATCCACCCGCCTCGGCCTCTCAAAGTGCTGGGATTACAGGCATGAGCCACCACTCCCGGCTCTGACCTGTGTATATTTCTAATTTGGAAGTTTATCATGTGGGTATTTTAAAGAAGCAGCAGGAATGTTTTAGTGGGAGATAGAACTAAGGATCTTAATAAAAATGTCAAGACTTGGACGATAAGAAAACATCCATCTTTAGTTTTTGTTGCCATAATTCTGCGTGTTAATGTTCCACCAATAGATTTAATAATTTGGAACCAAATTATTGACGTTTGAATTATATTATTAGAAATGTGCTGTACCTAGACAAGCCTCATCATGACAAAACATTAATAGCCATTTATTTTCTGTTATTGTTAATTTGAAAGTCCTCATGTTGTATAAAGTGCTTTATTGAATATTCTTAAACAGATTCACCAAAGTGCTTGATTATATCAATTATCTATGTGGTAGAATATTTTATAAAACCTTTGATTAAACATAATAGTAATCAGAAGACATCACCTAGGGAGAAGACTATCAATTAAAAATATATAAAAATAAACTCCTGCCACCTTTTTAACCCTTTGTCAACATGCATACATGCATTTGAAATTACCATGGGCAAATATTGCATGTAATACCTCTGTAGAATCATTACTTTTAATTTAGAAATGGCTCTTGGTTGCTATGTTAATGTTTTTAAATACACTCAACTGTATTTTTAAATTTACTTTTAAATGAGTAAGCCAAAATACACATAATTTTCTGAAAAATAATTGAGGGTAACTAACAAAAATATATACGCCATAAAATTAATAAAGAGGTTGTATAAATAAGGATAAGGTAGGGTAAGCTGGAATAAAGAGTAAAAATAAAGTAAGGAATATAAAACGTTGCTTAAGTCTTGATATCCAAAAGAAAGAGTACTAATTTTTTTTAGTTTTTTAATGCTGAATTATTAATTTGTCACATAGAGCTTCATATCATATTCATGTGACATACATAAGATGAAGACATTCTGGATTAGGGCTATTCCTCTATAATCCACTCTTTGTAGGTTTCATGAATGATCCTACCCTGTATCCTTCACCTTCCTCTCCAGGCTCAGGATAATCAAATTATATTTCTTATGCAAAGAGGACTAAAGTTCCTAAAGAGCAACAGATTTCTCAAAGTTGCTGTAAACATAAAAATATGACATCTTGAATCTATCCTCTCCTTCTGCAGACTAGGTAGTCTGCCTATTTGACTCTTTTATGTGCTGCTTTTCTCAAACCACTTATGTATGACTTAATACTGCAACTTGAAATTAGAGATACCTACCCCACTTTTGTAAACTCTGCTTATCTTTTTTAAGAGATTTAAACCTGTTTATAATTTCCCATTGACATATATTAGATTTGGTAAAAATTTTCTACCATGCCCCACGTTTTACACCACTTGCTTTTGTCTCAGTCACCGAGACATCTTACTTCATTAAATACTTTTATATCATAAATTGGGCTTTCGAGTTCTGCCTGGTTGAACTTGACATAGGTTGACATTCATCATCCTGAGTCATGAAATTTATTCAAGTAGTTGATTGTTTACCTGGAACAACCAAACATCTTTAAGCTAGCAGAATCACCCCAGTCCCTACTGGGAATAGAACTGGAGCCCTGATACTTTCTGATTTTTAATTTGTACTTTCTAAAACAGTTTCCTGAAACTATAGTTCCATTCTATCAATTAAATCTATTTGTGGCCAAACCAAAAACTACAAGATATTACTGAACTCCAGGCTCCAGAGGAAAGTCTCCCAGTTGAAAAGTTAATCTGACTCTTTTCTCACCATATCTGTAACTTAAAAGCCATTTCTTGGACTACCTAAAGCTAGATAATGAAGATAAGCCTCACTGATGACAAATTCTCCCTTCTTCTATTCATGGTAGCCACTACGACATGTTAGTTCTTAACATGCCCACCATGCTTAGCTTGTTTTTCTCCTACATATTACTAATACCTATGCGGCTTGCCTTATAATTTCAAGATGACCAACATACATACATTTAATAGGTTCAACATTTGAGCTCTCACTTAAGTTATTTGTGTCATTTGAAGTATTTGAAATTGCTGTAGACTTTATATGGAGTAGGTTAATGTTTGTGATAACTACTCATTGTCAAAAAAAAACCACTTTGTGCAACAGCCTTCCATTATAAATTTTAAAGTCAACACATGCATCACTAGGAAAGATAAGCTAAGATTAAGGCAATGTGTCTGTCTTGATAATCCCTATGTCAGCTCACTTCTACCTAAAGATACATAAGTAAGAATGCGCCAACTTTGCCTGCCTTAAAAGGGCTTTCAAGCTGCCTCCTGATTTGATTTTGATCTTCCTTCCTTCACAATCTTAGACTCACTGTCTTCTCATAAGGTGATTTCCTTTCAAACAGATATTGGTTATTTTGACTGAAAAATAAAGAATATCTTTCTGCTTTTCTATATCTGAGTGAAGTAGATTGTTGTCATCAATTTTAGGGCAAATAGCTCTTCCATATGTGCAGAATAGAAAAAGAATGAAGACAATTATAAAGCACTAGTAATTTTTGATAGCTGACATTTTAGGAACCTTGGAGAATTGAATATGGAAGATAGAGGATTCTTCTCTGCTACAGTAGCAACGGCATCTAACTTGTGCTATATCTGAAGAGGCAAAGATCCTTTCTCTTCAATATAAACTATAAAAATCAGCTACATAATACTAACATTTCAGACTACTTTCATTTTGCCATTTCTTTAACTTACTTATTAATATTTCTCAAAAGGATCAGACTTAAATCGTCATTGGGCATATAATTCAAGAGTAACTCTATAGTTCTTCTTGATTAGGTTCTCAGAATAGTATTTAAGCTTTTCTTTTCTTTCTTTTCATTTTTTAACAGCCTGGACTAACTGCTTCTTTAATTTCTGCTAAATGATTTGTTTCATTTGAGATTTGCAAATTATAAACCCCATTTGCAAGAGAACAATCTGATCATAGCTGTACTGCTCTACAGTTTAAATTAGAATTTTGGAAATCTGAGGATTTAAATTAAAGCTCATACCCAAGGTAACAAAAAACCCTCCACTCAACACTCATAGAGAGAGTAATTATATATGAGAACCTGAAATTAGAAGCTGAAATTAGAGCTATATTCACTAAGCCCCAAAGAACAGCTATTTTTTTAGCCCTCATAATGAAATGATTCCAGGTAAGATAATATACATGTCAGAGCCATTCAGTGCCACATTTCTCAGGTCTTATTTTCTTTTCTCAAATATATTGAATCCTTTTAACTCCTTTTGTTGGTGAAAATGTTTTAAACTATTTATAGTGACATGAGATTTGAAAAAAGATTTTCTCTCACATTTAAAAAAGAGGTAAAAAGTGCCATGCTTAAAAAATTATTTTGGGTTTATCTAATATTTCTAATAGAAAATACAAATAGGAAGTAATTGATGTATCTAGTAGTACTGCTCATCACAATAATAAAGAATAAGAATATAATGTATTTAATACTAAGTATTATATAAAGTATATTTTATAGTTCATGATAAATTACTTTATAATAAAGAACACGCAGAAGACATTCGTGAAAACAAGTAATAATTATTAAGCTCTTGTTTTGTACCAAGCAATGTGTTCAATACTTCACAACTATTTTATCCTGAAATCTGAAGAGTAACTTGCTATCAAAATTTTACACATACACATACACATACATACATATATACCTGAGTTTACCAAAGAGATTGAATTGAATAATTACCCCAATCACAAAACTAGATTTCAAGAACTTACACTTTCAACCTCTATAATATGGTAGTGTGTGTTGCTTTTAACTTAGAGTTTTGAACATTAAAAATTATTTGTTAAAACAAAATTAACTGATATGTTTCGAATACATTGAATGCATGTTCTGCATAATGTTAATTTTACTTTAGAATGTAAATATGTAAACAATAATATTTATATAAAAATAAACTGAAGAAATGTAAAGTTTAAATTGAGTATGACATCAAATTTAAACAATTAATACCAGATATGGCAAGGTAATAATTGCTAAGAACTAGTCAAAAAATTTAAAAATAATATTTTGATATAATCATTAGTGATAAAACCTGTTAATGCTCTTTGGCCCTCATGAGTCCAGTTTGTCTCCAGTAATCCAACAGATTATCAAAGATCATAATGTGTTGAAATATATATATTAAAATATATATATGTTGTATCTACAAATCATATATATATATATGTTTCAATGCAGTCAGTGGTATCTATCTAAAACATTCTTTGAGCCCTTGTTTCCCTTCTCATATGCATTCTTGAGTGAAAATGGGGCTCATATGATACAGCTAGTGTTCATAAAATTAGATATAGAGGTACAAACATTGATGTTTCCTACTCATAAACTTTCAACGACAGAATATTATCAAAGCTTCCTCTTTTGGAGTGAGTTATTCTAATTTACCATTATTGTAAGAGAAAATGAAGAAGTGGGACTACATGAAGTTTAGGTTTAGTTCCTGATCTCCACACCCAGGCTTATATGAAGAATATCAGATAGAAATTATACATAAGTTTATGCTCCATTTATAATTTTTTTTATTTAATTGAGAATTACAGACCACATTTTCTCCTCTAAACAATAGAAAACATTTTCCAATTAGTTCGCTCCCAATTAAAACCTTAAAGAGTGATTTCACACTATATTAATATGACAGTCTATATTGGTATATCTGCTCTCGAAGACAATTTGGTACTGAGTATGAAAATGTTAAAAATGAGCAAGAAGGCCGGTGTGGTGGTTCACATCTGTAATCGCAGCACTTTGGGAGGCCGAGGTGGGCAGATCACGAGATCAAGAGATTGAGACCATCTGGTCAACATGGTGAAACCACGTCTCTACTAAAAATACAAAAATGAGCTGGGCGTGGTGGCGCATGCCTGTAGTCCCAGCTACTTGGGCATGAGGCATGAGAATCTCTTGAGCTTTGGAGGCAGAGGTTGCAGTGAGCTGAGATGGCGCCATTGCACTCAAGCCTGGTGATAGAGCGAGACTCCATCTTAAAAAAACAAAACAAAACAGAAAACAAAAACAAAACAAGAGCAAGAAATAGGACTTCAAATCTGCAAGAAATTTACTGAACAATGTATGTAATAACAATAAAGAATTTTCCTAATTGTTCAGCAAGGGATAATTTGAATAAGTGCAATGCAATATAATCTAAGCATTATATATTATTTAAAATCTAATATTGAACATTTCAGTTATTAAAATATAAAATTACATAATTAAGAGTATAATCAATAAAATATCAATATACCCAAAACACATATGAATCACTGTACTATTTAATGGTAAAAATCGACAAGAAAATAATTAATTATAATATGCATCCAACACTTCCATGATAAAACCATCCAGAAAACAAAGAATAAAGAAAATTATTTTTAACATGATAAAAAGTATTTATGGGGAACTTAAAACTAACTTTATTCTCAACAGTGAAAAAATGCCTAGCCAACATGGTGGAACTCCGTCTCTACCAAAAATACAAAAATTAGCCGGGACTGCTGGCAGACACCTGTAATCCCAGCTACTTGGGAGGCTGAGGCAGAAAATTGCTTGAACCCGGGAGGCGGATGTTGCAGTGAGCCGAAATCGTTCCACTGCACTCCAGCCTGGGCGACAGAGTGAGACTCCGTGGCAATAAATAAATAAATAAATAAAGTGAAAAAATAAAAACTTTCCCCAAAGGTAAGAAACATGCTAAAGCTTCTACTTTTACCACTGCTATTTAGCTAGCATTGTATCAACATTTCAAGTCAGAACAATCGGACAGAATAAATACATGAAAGACATTAAAATTGGGAAGGAAAAATTAACTCTATCTCTTAAGAAAAAAAGAGGGAGTTACATGTAAACTGCAGAAGGGAGAAAATAATAAAAATTAGAATGGAAAATAATAAAATGAAGAATAACAATAAAATAAAATTAATAAAGGAAAGCAATAGAGAAAAATCAATGAAAACAAATGTTGGTTCTTTGAATAAATTAGCAAAATTGACAACTCTTTAGCTATGTTGACCAAAAAATAAAATTAAATAAATTAGAGAAAGAATAAGAAGACAGTGAATTCTTAGTTTTAACTTTCATTGAAGCCTTCACAGACTTGTTCAAAGATCACCAGGTGTTTGCTGACAATTTCTTCAAAGCCTTGCCGACTTTGGTCATCTTCCTGTCCAGAATCCACTGACAAATTTTAAATTTTTATGAAAGCATACACTCCCACGTACCAAAAACCATTGCAGTCATTATAGCTATTTAATAAGCTATCACAAAACTCCATGGAATAAAGTAGTTTGTCAATCAGAAATTTAGACCTGGAATTGTGAGGACAGTTTTACTCTCCTCCACAATTACTGGAGCCTCAACTTGAAGACTTAAGGCCAGGGTCAAAAGAGTTTATTTACATATGTGTCTGGTGGCTGATACTGATTGTCGGTGGATGACTTAAGTTTCTTATACTTCATGATCTTTTTCATGTGATCTATCCATATTAGCTAGTTTGGACTTTTCTGGCACCCTGGTGACTCTGTTCCAAGGAAGAACTAGCTGCACAATATAGTCATTTATGATATAACTTTTAAAATCATACAGAGAAATTTCTACCACATTCTATGCACCAAGGCAGTCAGAATTCTTACCCAGTCACAAGCGGAGAGAAAATGTTACTTCTCTCCTCCAGTGGATAGAAATGGGGAATTCTGGAAGGATATGTAGAGCCAGATTTATTGCAGTGGTCATTAAAAAATACAATCTACCCACCAATAGACATCATATTTATAATTATTTAGTTCATTTCCTCTGTCAGAACACTTGAGAAACAAATTACTACTTTGTCTCTTCTCACATCTCTAACACATTGTTCCCATCATTTTCTCAAGTGATAAACTTACTCCATATTCACTTAGCTTGTTTTTATTTTTTTATCCAGTGTTTATTTCATGGAAAATATTACTCATTTTTCTTGAGACATATTCTCCAAAGATTACATGATATTTCTATGATTGGCTTTTTTCTACCTTTCTGGATAATCCTGCAAAGTTTGCCTTATAAACCCTTTTCTGGTTTAGGTTTTTAAATATTACACTATTTTAGGATTGTCTGTTAGACCATTTTTACTTCAAAACAACAGAGATGGTAAAATTGGGGTACAAAGAACACATTTTTCACTTCTAAGCCCATGGTAGATTTAGCTAATTTACCAGTTTCTCTTGGGTTTTATGTTGTCTTGAAATTCTCACTAGTATTAAATAATCCTACAATTGTGATGCAAAATTAAAATTATCAATGAAATCTGCTCTATCCACTATTTTGGTAGTACCTGTCTAATACTGTGTTGTCAATTACCACGCATAATGATAGCCTGGTAATATTCCCTTTTTTATTTTTAAAAACATATCGATGTTACTGTAGGTAGCTAAAGTTAATTTATATGTATTACTTTCTAATGTTCCAGTCTGTAAATATACCAGTTTATCCATTATTTCATGAGGCCATTTGTCTTTTTTCCTGTTTTGTGTATTAATATTGCTATGATATAAACATATTTGTACACACCTCCTTGTACAGATGCGCCTCAACTTATGATGGAGCTACATCTCAGCAAACCCATCAAAAGTTGAAAATATTTCAAGTAAAAATGCATTTACTTTACCTAACTTTCCAAATACCATGATTTAGCCTAGTATACTCTAAATGTGCTCAGAACACATACATTGGCCTACAGTTGAGCAAAATCATCCAACAAAAAACCTATTTTATAATAAAGTATCAACTGTCTCATGTAATGTATTGAATTCTGTACTAAAAATAAGAAACAGAATGGAATGGTTCTATGGGTCCCCTTGAAGCATTGGTTATATACCATAAGTATAGCTTTTACACCATCATAAAGTAAAAAAATTGTAAATCAAGCCATTATAATTCAGGGAACATCTGTATACTTATGCATTGGTTTCTCTCAGGTGTATATATAAGAGTGTAGATATTTAGCAAATTAAATTAAAATGCATATTATAAGATAGTAACAAAATGTATACCTGAAATATTTGTACAAATATTTGTACAAATTTGTAGTCCCACAAAAATGTATAATGGATTCCATTAATTGCCAAATTTTCCAACAGTGTTATTTATGATTTGGTATTTTTACCAATCGAATATGTATGAAATATTCAATTATTGTCATATTAATTTACCATTTCCTGATTATTGGTGAGATCAAGCATCTTTTTATATGTCGTTGGCTTTATACATTTGCTTTTTTTTCAACTTTTATTTTAGCTTCAGGGGGTACATGTGCAGGTTGCTTACCTGAGTATGTTGTGAGATGCTGAGCATTGGGGTACAAATAATCCCCTCGCTCAGGTACTGAGCATAGTATCCAACAGTTTTTCAACACTTGTCCCCTTCTCATTCTCTCCCCTCTAGTAGTTTCTAATTTCTATTGTTGCCATTTTTTTTTCTGTCCATGAGTACCCAGTCTTTAGCTCTTACTTATAAGTGAAAACCTGCAGTATTTGGTTTCATGTTTCTGCATTAATTCACCTGGGATAATGGCCTCCAGCTGCATCCATTTTTCAATGAAGGACATGATTTTGTTCTTTCCCATAATACTATAATACTATGTCTATGTATTCTGTGGTGTATATGTACCACATTTTATTTATCCAATCCACAATTGATGGTAATCTGTGCTGATTCCATGTCTTTACTATTGTGAATAGCACTGAAATTAATATACAACTTCAAGTATCTTTTTAGTAGAATGATTTGTTTCATTTTTCATTTCTTAAGGATCTCTTGTTAGGCTGGTCTAGTGGTAACTAATTCCCTTAGCAATTGCTTAACTGGAGAAGATTTAACTTCTTTGCTTATGAACCTTAGTTTTGTGGGATATATGTTTATTGGCTGAAATTTTGTGTCTTTAAGAATGTTAAAAATAGGCCTCCGATCTCTCCTGGCTTGTAAGGTTTCTGCTGAGATGTCTACCATTAGCTTGATGGGGTTTCTTTTGTATCTGATCTGACTGTTTTTCTTTAGCTGCCTTTAAGATTTTTTTCTTCAGCATTGACCTTGGACAGTCTGATGACTATATGCATTGGTGATTTTTTAATAGTTTTTTTAAAATAATTTTTTATAGTTTTTTTATAGTTTTTTTTTAATAGTGTCTCACAGCTGTTCTCTGTATTTCTTCCATCTGAATGTCTACCTCTCAAACCACATTAGGGAAATTTTCTTGAATTGTTACCTCAAATATGTTTGCAAGTTTGCTTACTTTTTCTCCTTCTCTCTCATGGATGTCAGTAATTCATAGGTTTGGTCACTTTACCTAATCTCATATTTTTTGAATACTTTGTTCATTAATTTTTTTCTTTATTCTTGTCTGTCTTTCTTAGTTCAAAAGACCAGTCTTCAGACTCTGGAATTCTTTCTTCTGTTCGGTTCAGTCTATTGATAAAGTTTTCAATTGTATTTTGAAATTCTTTAAGGGAGTTTTTATATTCCAAAAGCTCTGATTAATTTTTTTAGGATGTTTCTCTCTTCCTTCGTTTTCTGGATCAATTTAGAAATTTCTTAGTGTTGATTTTCAAACTTGTCTTGGATGTCTTTGAGCTTCCTTGCAATCCATGCTTTGAATTCATTATTTGTTTTCATTTTGATTAGGGATCATTGCTGGAGAACTAGTGTAATTTTTTGTTGGTGTCACTACATTCAGATTTGTAATGGTGTCAGAATTCTTGCACTGGTTCCTTCTCATCTAAAGATGCTGTCACTTCTAATTTTGGTCATTATTTTTGTTCAGGTAGGATTTTTTCTTTATTTTCCTGTACTATTATTGGTTTTTGTTGTTGTTGTTGTTTCCCTTTTCCTCTCCTACCTCCTTAGGGCGTGTAACTGTAGAGAATTCTGGATAGGGTGTTTTGGCTTTGCTTCTACAGTTCTATGTGCTTCTGACATCAGGTTTTATACCGGGCTGTGAAATTTGACCTACAAGCCAACAGATGGTACTGAGAGGTAAAAGCCAGATGTGACCAATGTAGCTGGGTGTATATTTGCTCCTTGCTTACTGGGAGAAAGTCTGTTGCCACAGGCAATTGGCTGATTCATGGAGTGCATAGTAGTATGAGTTCTCTATTCAGCTTTGGGGTGGTGGTGGCCAAGATGGGTAGGAGCAGACTGGGCAGGATTGCCTATAGGACATGTGATGTCAAACACAAGCAGCAGCATGGGAGAATCCCATAGGCAGCCACGAAGCACCCAGTGGTTTGCCTAGGTATGGAGCTGGGAAACCTTCTCATCCCCAAGATTTCTACGCTGGGATGGAGGGTGACCTAAACTCTTAATCCAGGAGCATGAGTGCTCTGGATTCCTGGAGATCTGCCTGGTCAGGGAACAAATAGGGCCACCTACACCAGGATCTCTGCACAGGAAGCCTAGATAAGTTCAAGCTGCTGTTTCAGGAAAGTGCAAGCTCCAAAGGTCTGGAGATCTGCCTGACCATTTACCAGAAGTGTCCCCCATGCACCAAGATCTCTGTCCGGGGAAGCTGTGGCAACTCTGGCTGCTGAGCCGGCAAAGCAGGTGTCTGAATGCCTAGAAATCTGCCTGGGTGTGTCACAGAGAGAGCCTTTCTTGTACCTGGATCTCTACTCAAAAAGCTGCTGAGCCAGATGAGTAGGTGCTCCAAATGTCTGTAGAACTGCTTGGTTGTGGAGCACAGATAGCCTTACTCTACCATGATCTATGCCCAGAAAGATGCATTTCCTTTTCTGAGGAGTGCTTAATATTTTGTCTATTAGTTTTTTTTTTTTTCTTTTTTTTTTTTTTGAGATGGAGTCTCACTTGAGTGCAGGAACGCAATCTTGCCTCACTGCAACTTCCTGGGTTCAAGCGATTCTCGTGCCTTAGCCTCCCAAGTAGCTGGGACTACAGGCATGCCCCGCCACGCCCAGCTAATTTTTGTATTTTTAGTAGAGATGAGGTTTCACCATGTTGGCCAGGATGGTCTTGATCTCCTGACCTCATGATCCGCCCTCCTTGGCCTCCCACAGTACTGGGATTACAGGCATGAACCACTGTACCCGGCCGTTGTTGTTTAATAAGCTTCTTGTATTTTTGCTGTTACTCTCTAAATGTTTCATAGCACTCCTTTGTCAGTTAAATGTTACAAATTTATTCTTTCATTTTTATATTGACATTCCACTTTCTATGACAGGTCTTTTTTCAACAAGGCTTATTTCAATGAGGTTAATATTTATAATTTTTTATTAATATGTTTTCCATTTATCTAGGATTTTTTTATTAACAAACATTCAGAAGAGTATAAGCCTATATTTTTGGCTAAAACTTTTAAAGTTTTGTTTTTAATATCTAGATAGTTTAATCATGTGTAGTTAATTTTTTTGTAATGTGATACGGAGTTAGAGTTAGGCAATATTTTTCTACATATTCATATTTTGTGAGTCTGTTTCTGAACACTATTCCATGTCATCGGCCCTTGTGTCAGAACTACGCTGTTTTCCCTTTCGCTTTATATGTCTTTACATAATAAGGCAGTCCTTCTTTTTATTTAATAAATCACTTATTATTATGGTTGTAAAGTCTGAATCCAATTCTGTCTTTCACAAGCTGGCTATTCAATATTCTCCGCATCACTTCCATAAGATCCAACTATACTGCAGTATTTTGAAATATCACCTTTATTGTATACTAAATTTATGTATCTACTTGGTTCTATTTCTAGGCTTCCTATTCTAGTTCCCTGATCCAGTTGTCGCTTCTGTATGATGTAGTTGTATTATTTCTGCTGCAAGGTTTCTTTCTTAATTTACTTGCTTTCTTGTTGTTTTTGTAATTTTTTAAAATTCCACTTAATAAATTCACATTTGAGGGTATTCTGCTCTGAGTACTTTACAATTAATCACTATTTTTGAAATAACATTTCACTTATCATAATAGTTTCAAGGCCTATCTATGTTGCATCATGTTGTTTACATTAGGATTGCTGACCTCAGCCTGTCAACATTCATCCTTGATTATTTTAGTTTTATGGATTGACAGTTTCCTTGTTGCTTGCCCATCAACATTGCCACCAGAGGTGTCATATTCATTTTATCATATCTGTAGTTCTATATGGCTCAAGAACTGCACTGACAGTCCAAATTATATATGTATCTCATTTTATAATAATGTGTCTTATCATAATAATTACACATTTTTATGTTTCTTATATATAAATGTGTCTATTTGATCTACATTATTTTTTGATATTATCATTCCCATTATAACTGAGAAGCCATTTCTGAATAAGCATATACTATTATCAGCCCTGGCCTACAGAGAACAGCCACTGCTGATTTCTCAACAATGCTTATGCCTGTACTTACTAGCTCAGTTATTATCTCTTTGTTGAAAAACCTGGTCTGATTATGGATTTTCTGGTCTTACATATTACATTGATTCTAGTATGCCCACTTCTCTGAGCTTTTCATCTCTTTCTCAACTATTTCATTTGGCAGTTGTCATTTCTACTTCATTTAGTGTCATCTATTACTTTTGTGAATCATAGAAGAGGTATCTTAACATCATTATGAATTGTTTTCCACAGCCCTTGTCAGATTTAGGCAGATTACAGTATATATACACATCAAATTTACATTTTAATTCTCCCTTGATCTTGTGCCCTCAGGATTCATTCCCCCAATACATTTCCAGCTCTCATTGCTATATGCTGTCCCAGTTCTGCAACTTACCTGAGGTGTAGTCCCTTCCTAACTTACAAGTGCAGAATTTTTCCAGTATTATTTAAATTGTGACATCATCTTAAATATTGTTCTGGATTTTAGGAGGGGATGAGGAGTAAAGCATTTTGATATTTTGCTAAGTAAATATTTGATGATACTGTACATAATTTTCTAAGTTTCTAATAAATGGGAATTGCTAGCATTTAAAAGAGAATGAAGGTTTTAGCAACAGTTCTGAGAATTTAATTTTTTCAAATGCAGATGCTATAATCGATGATTCACTAAGCAATGGCCCATAGGCCAAATCTGACCCATTGTCTGCATTGTGATGAAAATTGTATTGGCAAACACCATGCTCATGTACTGTCTAGGGCTGCTTTTCCTCTACAGTGTCAGAGTAGATGTAATAGAAAATGTAATCTCCGTAAAGCCAAATATATTTATCATCTGTCCATTTACAGAAAATTTGTCAAGCTCTGTCGAAAGGGTCTTATAAGTGATAAATATCAAAGTGTTAATAGATTGTGAATGGTTTATATCCATAGGGTGAAAACTGGGGTAGCTAGAAATAGATACAGATTCTTTACTATTATTTCCATAAAGATGGTATATAATTTAACCCACCTCTGCCTTGAATCTTGGCTGGTATTAATGACTTGCTTGAAAAATACAATAGAAGCACAGATGCTAGTTCACGAGAATCCTTGCAGCTTTTGCTTGAGTCTTGTGGAACTCTGCATGTGAGAATAAAGTCACTAAATAGTCCAACTCCCTTGAGACTACCATGATAGAGAGTTCACAGAGAAGAATGCCATTTGACAGGCTCAGCTCATCCAGATTCTTTGCAATGCCTGCAAAGGCATCATTAATTTGAAGAGACCTTGTATACCCTTCTGATCAACTTATCTAACAGATAAATTCTATTGATTATCTCCCATCAACATCATTTGGACTGAAAGAATCATCTAGCTGGGCCATGACCAAATTCCTAACCCAGAAAAACAATAAGGCTGTATAAAAAGGGGTTGGAAGTCACTAAGTTCGGGGTCTTCAACAGTCCAAATCCTGGCAGCTGGTGAAATATTGTCTCAATCCTGAAGCGGAGATCTGAGTTATGCACAACAGTGTCCACTACAGTCTGCCCATATTTTGTTTGGGATTTTTGTACTTATATTTATGAGTGAAATGAACCTTTAATTTAGTTTTTATATTGTCCTTTCCTGAATTTGTTACTAGTTGAATAAAATAAGTTAGAGAATATTCCAATATTTTAAAAATCTCCAAATGATTTTTGTTAAGGTTTTAAGGATATTTCCTAAAATTTTACTTAAATTTCCCTCTAAAACTGCCTTTTCATTTTTTTTCTGATAATGTTTGTAACTTTGGCATGCCAGTTTTTTATTGCTACTGTAACCAATTATCACAAACAGTGATATAAAATATCACAATTTGTTATCTGACACGTCGGTAGTATAGATGTCTGATAGGGGTTTCATGGTACTAAAATCAAATTTCTTAGCCTTTTTTAGCTTCTAGAAGTTTCCTTTCTTCACCTTCAAAACAAGCAATATTGCATCCCTCTATCTCTCTTGTACTCACATCTCCCTCATACCATCGCTAGAAAATATTTTTAGTTTTAAGACTTACTTGCTTAGATTAGGACTACTCATAATTAAAAAAAAAATTCCCATTTTAAGGTCCTTAACCTAAGCACATCTGCAAAGTTATTTTTGTCATTTAAGATAACACATTTACAACTTCCACGGATTGTGATGTTCATATATTTAGGCGGGGCATCATTCCATGTATCATATACAGCTTGTTAGACTTTCCTTTGTTTATTTAGTCAGTGTGGTACATTATACTCTTCAAAAATGTGTTTATTTCATTTAAATTTTCAAACTAAGTAACAAAAAATGTTGATGATATCTTATTAGTTCAATATTTCTTATATTTGAATCTATATATTTTATATATTTTTTATATTGTTATTAATTCTTTTTTTCCTTTTTAGGTTTTTTTACTCATTTCAAGCCATTCTCTAAGTTAGAGTTTAACCATAAAAAAATTTAATTTAATCTACTTTATTAAGATCCTTGGATGTTTTTGCAATATACTTAAGGTAAACCCTTTATATGGCTTACATAGACTTTCAATAGATGACTCTTACTTAACCCTGAAGACCAAAGAAATAAATCTTTAAATACACCTCATTTTTTATAGTGTAGGAGTTTAGAACTGCTATTCTCCTTTGTAGAAAATGTAAGTCCTGTGTTGAACCTTTCTTTCATAGGAGTAACCATTACATAGATTTTAGTTGTCTTTGTTTCCTCATTTTCTTTAATGAAACTTCATTCTCCTTTCATGTAATTACATACATCCTTATTTTTATATCAGGAAAATCACCACACTATGTTCTAATGTTTACTAAATTGTCAGCATCACCTGTATGATTAACTATGTGTTTAATTGGTGGTCTGTGGGAAGTGACTATTTTGTCTCAAAATTTAGCACAGTTCCTGGTAAAGAGTAAGCACACAACAAATATTTGTTGGAAGACTTAATGATTGTAATAGCATAATGTATTGATATTTTATTGTATTTGTGTTCAAAGATGGACTAGGAACAAGGATAATGGAATTATATCATTTATTCTCTGTCATTAGACAGCTATAAACTGTAGGAAATCACTCTATCACTCTTGAGGAAATATTTTTATTTATAAAAAAGTATATTTGAATTTAAAAAGTTTAGTCTTTTTTTCAGCATAAAATGAGCTTGAGGTAAATTAATTTTCCCTCTGGGAAAAAATTTGTTTTAATTTTTCCTACCAATAACATAATAATAACCTTATCCACTTATAGGCACATTGTTATAATGTTGTTAAATATTCTGATTTCATATATTTAGATTTTTGTTTTAATCAACACTAGAAGGTATGAGTATTTCCTTAATGGCATAATGTTTTTCCTGTTTATGGAGCACTATGTAACATAAACTATTTATTACTAATATAAAATTATAAATTATATTTTTAAAATGTCTTTTCTTTGGAGAAGTACTAGAGAAAGACTATTGCTTGCAGTGAGCCACGATTGCACCACTACACCCCAGCCTGGGTGACAGAGAGAGACTCCGTCTCAAAAAACAAACAAAAAAATACTATTGCTCAGCTTAAGTCCCAAATCAATTTCTGATTGTCAGCGGAAGGGAATGATATGATATGTAGCTTCCTAAGAGCTACTTTTGGCAAAACTGTTGCCTGAAAAAAGGGAATACACTTACTAGGATGTAGGGGGAGAAAATGCTAAGAAATTTTAAAGTACATCAGCTCAATATGTTTCTTTCAGTTAGCTAAATATTAAATCCTTTTTTACCATGTTGATTGATTTTTTTGCATATGCAACTTTTGATAGAAATCAGAACTCAGAACTTTCTTCCTAACTAAGTCATTTTCAAATCCAAATCCAAATGATGTCCAAGTGCTATCCAGAAGACGAGGAAAAAAGGAGAAGGAGGAGGAGAGGTGGAAGGAAGGAGGAGAAAGGGGAACAAGGAGAAGGGAAAAAAAATCTGATTTTCCTGACTTCTTTCTTCAGTGACTTTTTTCCCATATATTGCATTATAACATTTATTTATTATTTTGATTTTTAACAACCTTATTGAGGTATAATTGATATACAAAAACTCCACATATTTCATGCAAACATTCTGATGAGTTTATCTATATGCATAGGCCCATAAAACCATCACTACCATAAAGATGATAGACGTATTCATTGCCTCTAAATGCCTGCTTGTGCCTCTTTTTTTGTGTGATAAGAATATGTAACATGAAGTCTATCCTCATAACAAAACTTTAAATGTGTAATACCATATTGTTAACTATAGTCACTATGTTTACAGCAGATCTCTGGAACTTACTTATCTTGCATAGCTAAAACATTATACCCACCATACAATGATTCTCCATACCCCCTCCTCTCAGGCCCTGGCAACCACTTAATACTTTCTTCTTTGAGTTAGACTATTTTAGATACCTGATCTAAGTGGAATTGTGCAGTATTTGTTCTTCTGTAACAGTCATGTCTTTCAGGTTCATCCATGTTATTGAAAATGGCAATTTTCTTTGTTAAGGTTGAATACTATTTCATTTATGTATATGCCATATTTTCTTTATCCATTCATCTATTGATAGATATTTGGGTTGTTTCCATTTCTTGGCTATAGTGAATAATGCTTTAATAACATAGGAGTGCAGAAATATTTTTGAGATCGTGATTTTAATTCTTTTGACCATTATACCCCCAAGTGTAATTACTACATCATATGAGAGTACTATTTTTAATTTTGGGGGGAACATTCTTTGGTTTTCAATAGTATTTGCACCATTGTACATTCACACCATTAGTGTAGAAGGGTTACAATTTTTCTGTATCCTCACCAACACTTGTTACCTTTTGTTTTGTCGATAATAGCTATCTTAACATATGAGAGATATCTCATTGCAATGTTAATTTGCATTTTCCTAATGATTAGTGATGTCTATCAACTATTAATATATCTTTCAGCCATTTGTATGACTTCATTGGAGAAATATTTAAGTCCACTGCCTATTTTTAATTGATGTTTGTTTGTTTTTACTATCGTAACTTTTTTTATTCAAGTGATTAAAAATACTTTGGAATACACAGTACTAATATTAATTATTAAGTTTACATCAACCCCTTTTTGTGATGAAATGTTATACTAAAACTTACCATGATCTATTCTTGAGATTCCAATCAGTCTGGCCCTAAATCTGCCTTAATAATGGCAATATGGCAAGTCAGTAACTGATCAAGCTTCAAAGCTAACCAAATGCTTCTTTTATCTTTAAGTTATCCCTAATTACTCACTGAGATGTGACTCTCCACTGTTTTGTATTATAACAGTTATGATATTTTTGCTTCTATAATTTCAGTTATATATTACTCATTTTAAATACATATAACTGATGCAAAATAATATTGAATTGAAAAATACAGGAAAATACAAAAATAAGAAAATGTATTACAAAACCAGCTCAAGCTTATGAAAAAAGTATATATACATTAAAATATCATAGGCTGGGCACTGGTGGCTCACGACTGAAATTCCAGCACTTTGGGAGGCTAAGGTTGGAGGATTGGTTGAGCCTGGAGATGGAGATTGTAGTGAGCCAAAATAGTGCCACTGACTCCAGCCTGGGTGACAAAGCAAGACCCTGTCTCAAAATAAATAAATAAAATAAAATAAAAGTCACAAAACCTTTAAAGATGCTAGAACAAATAATTTTAGAATTTTCTGAAGAAGATACAACAAAATTCGAATGCTGAAATGATTCTGTCAAAGAAATAGATATATGCACTCACACACATCTACACACATATATGACACGTGAACATATGTTTAATAAATGTTAACCTTCAACCTGAGCTCAAAATCAGAATTCTATATTTGCCAGACATTTTTAATCTGTAAGAATAATATAAAAAATAAGTAGTAAAAAGAACCTCCCAAATTTTATGTTCATTTGTAAAAAGAAAAATTCATAAGATCAATTATTGCAAAATATAAAATTTCAAACTGTCATTATTAAGAAGGTCATCATTTATTCATCCTTCTATCTAATAACATCTTCACGGTCTTTTTAGTTTATAACAATAACATTTGAACTTATCAGTTTAATGATGATAACCCATTAATTCCCTTTCTTTGCAGACTCATTTATCCATCATTTAAGAGTGCAGCTACTAACAATTCCTTTAGGAAATTGGACGTTTTATAAGTTGCAAAGTTTATTTTGAATGAAACCAATGAATTTAAATGAAATGCTTCAAAATTTTCCTTCCAAACATTGAATTTTATTAAATTAAATGCTATCCCTTATGCTGTATCTCAATTGGAAGATACATTTTCCTTTGTAGATCTAAATCAAAATTATACCACTAGGATGCAAAGTAATTCCCTCCAGTAAGTGTCACTGTTTTATTTCTAACCAAGTAGTAACTATTTCTGCTGATGAAGTTGTTGCAGGAAAGAAAAACTTGATTTTAGCATATAAAGGCAAGTCAAATAATTAGAAAGACAATTGTACAAACATGATACTACTTGTTTCTTAATTAAAATTGAATTTTTAACACAATACATGGATGGTAATATGTATTCCTGCTCACTGAAAATTCTTTCTAATATTATTATTAAATAGTTAGAGCCCTTACCCAAATGGTTTGCTATTGAAGAAACATCTGAGAGCATTTTAGAAAATAGTGTAGCCATGAACATTTAAGCTTTAACCTTTATTTCTTCTAGACCCAAATTGTTTTCACAATAATGGCTCCTAGAAATATTTAATCAATTCATGTTAAAAATTCACATGGAAAGAAGCAAGATTAAAAATGGATTTATGCAGTAATTTTGTTTTATTGGTATCTAGTTGAATTGTGGAGAGATATTACATAAATGCAAATGGGAAGAAGGAAAAAAACTCTTTTAAAGGTAGTGTTAAATAAGTTACACAATTGAGAAAAAGTATAAAAGAATAATAATGAGGTGACATATAACAATTCAACAGAGAAAGACTATGGGATATTAAAATGAGATTGAAAAGGAATACAATAATCGTGAACTCAATATACACACAACAAAAGCACTCAATGCATATTTATTGCTGACAATTTTTATGGTGACCGATAAAATTAATTTACTTAGTTCCTTTTAAAAATAATAATGAAAGAAACAAATTTAGGTAAGAATTGTTTATGGTTGTACTACCAATGTTTTTGTTTGATGAGATTTCTTGTTTTTTTTTTAAAAAAAACATTTATATTTAAATAAAACATTCTAGGTAAACAAAGTTCAAAGAATGTATTTAGAGGTAAATTATTCCTAAAAGGGAATTAAATAATATTATTTTTAATAAAAATAACATGTAAAAAGAAGTTAGTAATAGACGTATAAGCAACTCTTAACATAGATTTGTTTTCTGAAGCAAAAAACAGAATACGAATGAAAGTTTTACTTTAGTAAGTACTGATGAACTGTAGTAGTTTAACAATGCTTTGTCTTACCAGTTATAAAATAAACAGGTAAATTGATAAAAACACAAGCAAATATTTAACCTCTAGCTTTTCCAGTGGAATATAATCACAATAATTATAGACAGGCAAATTTTTCCTTCTATCAATATATTTAGGTGGCAAAGTCATACTTCTAATAATATAATTTGATAGATATATATGCCAGTTATCTTTGTAAAAGAGGAAAATAGGTCCATGACTATAGAGGATTGACTGACTCAACACTACTTAGAAAAGAGGGAAGCTGCTAATCAAAATATTAGAATGCTAACTCAATTCCATGTAATCGTTTAAGCTTTAACAAGAACAATAATAACAATGAGATAATAATAATTATAATATTGAAAAATATGATTACACCCAAAACACTTTGATACATGAATTCTTAGATGCTAGTTCATATCAAAGTACATTTCTATAATTATGGCCTGTCTTACCAATATAGTGTAATTTTATAAAGTCCTTCCTTTAAGACATTATAGTAGTAGAGAATGGAGTTTGTCTATTTATTTTGGTTTGAAATTTTGGAAAATAAAAAGTTGATAATATGATTAGTCACCTTAAAATATATAGGCAGTTTGACAAATTATTAAATACACAAGTAAAGAATCAGAGCCTTAAAGTTATCATTTTATAATGGAGAAAGCACAGATATGGCATCAGTAATGCATGTTTTACTTGAATCTTGATTACTTAGTAATTCTGTGATCCTCGTTATTTATTTCTGTATGTTGAGACTTACATCTCTCATAGCAATAAATATTGTGAAGAGCTTTGAGAATTCTGGATATTATATGTGAGTAACCAAGTAGTTTCTAAATAAACAGCAGCCATATTATTATTATTATTATTTTGCTGACGCTATGCTTCATATGTTAAGGTATGAAAGTCTAGCTTATAAATTGTTTTTTCATCATATTTTGCTACCTATCAAAAAAATAATGAGCCACGCAGAGACCAAAGATTCAATAAAATGTTCAATTAACCAAGATGCTCCAATTATTGTCCATTATTTACCTTCAACATAGCTCAAAAATATTCAAAACAAAATTGAGAGTTCAAAAAGATATTGTCAACCCAAACCCAAAGGGAGATTCTAATATGTCTGTCTCAATATTTAATATATCAAGTAAGCAAAATTATATATTACCATATATATTATGTAAATTTGTATATACTATATATTATGTATAATTTTTGTAACTATGCATACAGTTATATGTCTACATACAAACTATATAACTACACATATTTTTGCAGATATATTTCTAATTATTCAATGGAAACGTTTACTGTAATGTAGATCAACTTTGATCAATTTATTATCTTATTAGACCTCCTACACTTCATGTTTCTTACATTTTAAGGGACTTATAATCAGAAAAAAATGACAAACTAAACTACAACTTCTTTTTTTTTTTTTTTTTTTTTTTGAGACGGAGTCTTGCTCTGTCGCCCAGGCTGGAGAGCAGTGGCGCGATCTCGGCTCGCTGCAAGTTCTGCCTCCTGGTTTCACGCCTTTCTCCTGCCTCAACCTCCTGAGTAGTTGGGGCTACAGGGGCCCGCCACCACACCCAGCTAATTTGTGTGTGTGTGTGTGTGTTTTTAGTAAAGACGGGGTTTCACCGTGTTAGCCAGCATGGTCTAGATCTCCCGACCTCGTGATCCGCCCACTGGCCTCCCAAAGTACTGGGATTACAGGCGTAAGCCACCTCGCCGAGTCGCTAAACTACAACTTCTAAGTAATTCTTCTCCGTATCTATTAAAGACAGAATAAAAGAAAAAATATTCTGAAAAAGTTTTTTTTTCACCAGTTAAGATATAATGAGGCCAGGCGCGGTGGTTCACGCCTGTAATCCCAGCACTTTGAGAGGCAGAGGCGGGCAGATCAATTGAGGTCAGGAGTTCAAGACCACCCTGGCTAACATGGTGAAACCCCATCTTTATTCAAATACAAAAATTAGCAGGGCGTAGTGGCGGGCGCCTGTAGTCCCAGCTGCAGGCTATGTATGTATGTTGGGAGGCTGAGATGAGAAAATCACTTGAATCTGGGAGGTGGAGGTTGCAGTGAGCTGAGATCGCATCACTGCACTCCAGCCTGGGCAACAGAGCGAGACTCCCTCTCAAAAAAATAAAGAAAATAAAAATAAAAAAATAAACGAACAAAAAATCCCGGAAATAAAGAGCTAACTGTGAGAAAGTTGTGGAATCCTTCAATCTTGACATGTATTACCAAGAATAACTCTAAAGGCTTTTTCATCCCTACAGCTAGGAAACCTGGCAGCATTTTTAGTGGAGCTGTTGACTTCCCTGCATAAGAGAGAGGAATACTTTAGAGGTTAAAAGCCTTAGAACAACAACAACAAAATGACTTTATAAAAGTAGTGGAGAAACATGTAACTTAGTCTATGAATTTTTTGTGGCTATTTTGATATTATTAAATTAAATGTGAAGCCACTGTACGTTTAGTAATTCTATTCATAAATTTGATATTTTCCCACCTAAATAAATGAACTTATTATTTGAAGTTGCATACTGAATTTTCAGATATTATGTAGGCTGGTCTACCAGATTTATTAAAACACTGATTTTACCCTCTGAGATGTCAAAATGACCAGCAGAACCCGGAAGCCTATTTAGAAAATGTATTACAGTACATGCATATGTAAACGTATTTAAACCAGATGTCTTCCTACAATTTTTAGAGCGAAGCTTTCTCTAATTAGTAGAGAGAACATTTTGTTATAAAACTTTCATAGTATCCATTCAGAAATAGTAAGCACGGCTTCTATATTATGAACAACTTTCTGTGTGCCAACTCAGTGGAAATAATTATTGTGGTAGGTGAATATTAAATACTATATGTTTTAGTATTTATATACTACTAGTCCTGTGCACGAGATAGAGCATAGTAAGGGAAGGAGTGAAGGGTAGTTTTTTAACTGACATGTGACATAACTATCCAGATATTGTGTTTATTTACGGATTTATTTGTTCATTTTTTTTCTTTGTTTTTAGGCAATATTTACATAAAGTGGAATGCAAAAATCTTTATTTCATTAGTTCTTATAATTGTTGGGTATATCCCTTTGATTTTCTATGTAAACAACCATAATAGATAAAAATAGAGACCGTCTTTCTTCTTCCTTTCCAATATGATTCCATTTTTTTATTGCAAGTTTTTTCCCTGATTGCACTAGCTAAAACTACCAATAAAATTCCAAGTAAAAAGGATAAAGTCCTTCCATTTTGCTCAATCTTAAATGAAAAGCATTCAATATTTTACCAATAATTATATTATCAGCTATAGCTTTTATAATTTCATTGTTTTGAGGCAGATAACAATATTCAGTTATATCTTATTTCTTGATTACTTTAAAGAATTTAAGTTGAGATTTTGCCAAATACTTTTTCTGCATCTGTTGAGCTTACTGCATGATGTGTATATATACCAGTTTTCTTTATCCATTCATTTGTTAATGAACACTTAAGTCGATTCCATAGCTGAGCTATTCTGAATAGTGCTGCAATAAAAATGGAAATGCACATATCTCTTTGACATTTTCTTTCTTTTGGATATATACCCAGCAGTGGAATACCTGGATCATATGGCAGTTCTACTTTGCATGTTTTGAGGAAACTTCATACTGTTTTCCAAAATTATTATACTGATTTACACTTTTACTAGCAATGTAGAAGTATTTCCTTTCCTCCACATCCTCAGCAGCATCTGTTATTTTATGTCTTTTTATAACATCCATTTTTACTGGGGTGAGATGATAAGTCATTGTGCTTTTTATTTGCATTTCCCAGATAGATGATAAGTGATATTGAGCATTTTTTCATTTACCTGTTGACCATTAATATGTCATAATTTGAGAAATGTCTACTCAGAACTTTTGGCCACTTTTAAAATTGGATTTTTAAATTTGTTTTGTTGCTATTGAGATATTACATTTTATTATGTATACTTGTTAATAATCCCTTGTTGGATAGATAGTTTGAAAACATATTCTCCTATTTTTCAGGCTGTCTCTTCACTTTATTATTTTCTTTGATGTGCAAAAGCTTTTTAGTTTAATACCATTTGTTAATTTTTGCATTTGTTGCCTATCGTTTTGAGGTTTTACTCAAAAATTCTTTGCCCAGACTAATCTCCTGAAGCATTTCCCCAATCTTTTCTTCAAGTAGTTTCATAGTTTCAGGTCTTGCATTAAAGTTTTAATCCATTTGGATTTGATTTTTCAGTATGGGGAGAGACATAAAAGTTGTTTTCTTCTACATATGGATGCCAAGTTTACCTACCATTATTTATTGAAGAGATTGTCCTTTCTCCAATGTATTTTCTTGGTGCTTTTGTTGAGAATGTGTTGAATATAAATTCAACTGTGTTCTCTGAGTTCTCTATTCTGTCCCACTGGTTTATGTTTCTGTTTTTATGTCAGTACCATGCTGTTATGGTTATTACAGCTGTGTGGTACATTATGATTTCAGTTAGCATTATGCCTCCAGCTTTGTTCTTTTTTCTCAGGATTACTTTGGCTACTCTGGTTCTTTAGTGGTTCCATATGAATTTTAGGATTTTTAAAAAAATTTCTATGAAGAATATTATTAGTATTTTAGTAGGTATTGCATTAAATCTATAAATTGCTTTAGGTAGTATGAAAGTTTTAACAGTATTAATTCTTCCAATCCGTGAACATGGATTTTTTAAAATTTTTCATGTCATATTCAATTTCTTTCATCAGTGTTTTATAGTTTTCATTGTAGGAATTTTTTAGTTTAATTTATTTCTTGGTAATTTTTTGTAGCTATTGTAAATGGTATTGCTTTCTTGAATTCTTTTTTAGATAGTTAGCTATTGGCATATAGAAATGCTACTCTTTTTTTTTTTTTTTTTTTTTTTTTTTGAGATAGTATCTCACTCTGTCACCCAGGCTGCAGTGCAGTGGTATGATCATGGCTCACTGCAGCCTCAACCTCCCAGGCTCACACAATTCTCCCAACTCATCTTCCTTAGTATTTGGGACCACAAGCACGTGCTACCACATCCAGCTAATTTTAAAATTGTTTTTGTTAGAGGTAAGGTTTCATTACATTTTCCAGGCTGACCTCAAACTCCTGGGCTTAAGCAATTCTCCCAACTTAGGTTCCCAAAGTTCTGGGATTACAGGCATAAGCTGCTGTGCCTGGCTTGCTACTAACTTTTGTGTATTGATTTTGTATCTGACAATGTTATTGAATTTATTTATTGATTCTAAGCGGTTTTTTTTTGGTGGAAACTTTATGCTTTCTAAATATAAGATTATGTCATTTGTAAACGAGGACAATTTAACTTTTTCTTTGGATACTATTTATTTCTTTCTATTGTCTAATTGTTCTGGCATGTAGAAGAAACATACTACAAAACAGTAAGAACCACATTTTTTGCCAATTTGCATATGTTAAAACATCTTTGTATCCATGGGTAATCATGATCACTAGATCATAATTTTTTAATGTATTGTTGAATTATGTTTGCTAGCATTTTATTGAACATTTTTGCATGTATATTCATCAGAAATACTAGTGCTTGTGGTTTTCTTTTTTTATTGTGTCTTAGTCTGGTTTTCGGATGAGTGTAATGCTGGCCACTTAGAATGAGCTTGGAAGAATTTCCTCTTATTAACATTTAATTACTTGGAATAGTTTGAGTAGAATTGGTATTACTTTTTCTTTAAATGTTGGCAAAATTTATCAGTGAAACCATTCAGGTCTGGGCTTATGTTTGATAGGATTCTATTATTATTTTTATTACTGCTTCTCACTCATTACTCATTATTGGTCCATGTTGTTGTAGGAGAAGTTTCTTATAGTCAACACACAGTTCTGTCTTTCTACTTTTTTGTCCCAAAAGCCACAGTATGTCTTTTAATTGGATAATTTAGTCCATTTACATTTAATGTTGTTATTAATAGTTAAAATTTCATTACTCTCACTGTTTTACTTGTTTTCTGGTGTTTTTGTAAATTCTCCCTTCATTTTTTTAAAATTTCTTATTGTTTTTCTTTGTTTAGTGATTTTCTTTGGTAATATGATTTATAATTTATTCTTTTTAAGTGTATTTCTTATATGTTGTAGCTCATGAGCCTTACAAAAAAATACCTTATAGTTATAACAAGTCTTTCAAAACTAACAACCTAATTTTGATTGCAAAACAAAACCATACAAATAAGCAACACTAAAACCTCTGTACATTAATTCCACCCCTGACTTTCTGTTGCCTCAACTTATATATTTTCATATTGCCTATCTCTTAAAAAGTGTTGTAGTTATCATCTCTGTTTTTTACTTTTACCAGTGAGCTTTCAGTCTTCAGATGATTTCTTTTGTCAAGAGTAACGTTCAGGTATTTATAGAATGTCTTTCAATTGGGATTTTCATAATATTTTCTCATTATGAGACTGAAGTTATAAAGACATTTTTTTTGAAAAAAGACCATAGAGATAAAATGCTATTTTTTATCATATCTTATCAAGAGTACAGACTCCTAAGAAGCTTGTCATTGTTGGTGTTAAACTTAAGCATCCTGACCGGGCACAGTGGCTCATGCCTGTAATCCCAGCACTTTGGGAGGCCAAGGGGGGTGGATTGCCTGAGGTCAGGAGTTTGAGACCAGCCTGGTCAACATGGTGAAACCCTATCTCTACTAAAAATACAAAAATTAGCCAGGAGTGGTGGTGGGAGCCTGTAATCCCAGCTACTTGGGAGGCTGAGAGAGGAGAATCACTTGAACCTGGGAGGCAGAGGTTGCAGTGATCCGAGACTGTGCCATTGCAATCCAGCCTGGGGAAGAAGAACGGAACTCTGTCTCAAACAACAACAACAACAACAACAACAAAAACAACTACTACTACTTAAGCATCCTGGCTGAATACCTGTACTCAGGTACTGGCCCCAAAAAGTTTTTTGTTTCTCCCCATTTTCATGCATTGTTTGGAAGAAAATTACTATTCACAACTGTGTCTTAAAGAGTAGAAAAGTTTTCCTCCCCTCTTTTAGGGCAGAGTGTCCTCATAAGTAATTTGGAATTATTTTATAGAAAAGCATTATTCATTCTCTCCAATGTATTTGCTTATTTAATTATTTATTTACATCAATATGGACTCATGCATATTTATTTTATACTTGGATTATAATTCAGTACTATTTAATGTAATTTATTTCTCAGATTATTTCAGTTTTAGCTTTTGGGAGCCTGTTTATTTGGCTTCTGCGTCCTTTTATTATGCCATCATTTTTTTAGTAAGTTTATCCTTACTTTCTGGCAGTGCAAAATGCTTCAGGCTCATCTTGTATATTTTCTGCTTGTAGAATTAGGATGGGAGCAGAAAATATACAAGATGAGTCTGAAGCCATTTCTCCAAGGAGCTCTGTGTTTTTTTTTCTTTTTAATTAAAGAGTAATATGATCAGCCAATATCAGAACACTAAGTGTGCTTGTTTCTACTGGGGTATCATTGTTTCAAGCCCCAATTCACTGACAGACAGAGAAATAAAATATATCTGTATACTGACAAATGTATATGCTCATATTTGTAATATTTCTATATGTAATCATCTATACCTAAATATGAGCCTAAACCAGAGCTAGAATTTTCAGAATAAGCTAAGTAGCACATTAATGAAAAGTTCAAACGTATTATATCCTCAAAAAGCATTTGGCAAATTTGTTAATGATATTCTACTTTCCAAGGGCATCTAATTTTAATTCTAACAGTGTATTGCTTTGAAATAAACATTGTGTTGGCAAAGTAACAAGAAAAATGTGGATAATTCTACTAAGTTTTAGCTTATATAGGGGTGCTCAATCTTAATGTTTATATATAAAACCCCTGTTATTTAATTTAGAAATAAACCAGGTGTAACAGGATGCTACTATAAAAAATAAGAAAAAAATGTTAGTCATGAAGTGAATAAATTTGAACTTTTGTATATGTTTGACAGGAATTCAAAATGGTGAAGCAACTGTGAAAAACAGACTGGAAGTTACTAAAAAATTTAAAAGTACATCCACCATATGAAAAAACAGTTTTACTTCTGGGTATTTATACAAAAGAATTGAAATCATGATCTCAAAGAGATTATTAACACTTCTATGTTTAATGTAGCACTATTTACAGTAGCCATGCAAAAACTAAATGTCCATTAACAGATAAAAAGATAAAGAAAATATTGAATATACACACAATGATATCTAGTCAGATTTAGAAAACAAGAGAATGTGGCAATATGGACAACATGAATGAATCTTGAGGACATTATGCTAAGTGAAATAAGGCAGTCACAGAGACAACTACTATGTGATTCCAAGTATATGAGATATCTAAAACAGTCAAATTTATAAAATCAAAGAGTGGGATGGTGGCTTCCGGAAGCAGAAAGAAAAGGAATGTGGAGGAGTTTCTAATCAATAGGCACAAAATTTCAGTCAAGCAAGATGAATATGCTCTAGATATGTGCTGTACAGCAACGTGCCTATAGTCAACAATAGCATACTGTATACTTAAAAATTTTGTTGGGAGGATAGATCTCCTGTTAAGTGTTCTCAGCATAATAAAATAAAAATTAACAAAATAAACCATGTTGTATCAGTTACAGCCAATCTTGAACCTGTAGAAATATGCATAAAATTATATTTTGAGTAAATTATTACAAAAAAAATTTAGATTCATTTCTAAAGATAAAACCAAATACCACAAATTAACAGCACACTCAATACAAAGAATTTTGAAACATTGTAAGTGGAAATTAGAAGTATATGTATAACTTAAGAACACTAGTTAGAAACTGGTATTTTAATAAAACCATATTTTATTGACTACTTCTCTCATCCCAGTATACGATGTCTGTCCCCTGCCATAAGCAGTAATGCCACAGTAGATTTATGCCGCACAAAAGCTGTGAGCCTTCTGCCTGGGGAAGCCCTGCGAAAAGTTCGAACAGGGGTCTGTAGACTCTTGCCAGTGGGGACAATAGGATTACTTCTAGGAAGGTCCAGTTTAAATTTAAAAGGGGTAAAAATACAAACAGGAGTCATTGATTCAGATTACAATGGGGAAATTCAAATTGTTATATCTACTTCTGTTCCCTGGAAAGTAGAACCAGGAGAGCGTATAACACAGTTCCTGATTGTGCCATATGCAGAAATGAGGAAAAGTGAAATTAAACAAACAGGAGGATTTGGAAACACAAATAAACAAGGCCACAGCTTATTGGGTGACTCAAATTACTGACAAACGTCCTACCTGTGAAATAAGTATTCAGGGAAAGAAATGTAAAGGTTTGGTAGATACAGGAGCAGACATTTCAATCATTTCTCTACAACACTGGCCATCCATGTGGCCAATTCAACCTACTCAATTTAACATAGTTGGAGTTGGTAAAGCCCCTGAAGTATATCAAAGTAGTTATATTTTGCATTGTGAAGGGCCCAATTGACAATCTGGGACTATTCAACCAATTATAACTTCTGTACCTATAAATGTATGGGGAAGAGATTTATTACAACAATGGGGAGCACAAGTTCTAATTCCAGAACAATTATATAGCCCTCAGAGTCAACATACAATGCATGAAATGGGGTTTGTCCCGGTATGGGACTAGGAAAAAATTTGCAAGGTTTGAGGGAAACACTTCAGGTGGAAAGACAAAGTTCCCGCCAAGGTTTAGGATATCATTTTTGATGGCAGCCATCGTTAAGCCTCCAGAACCTATGCCTTTAAAATGATTAACAGATAAGCCAGTTTGGATAGAACAATGGCCACTAAGTAAAGAGAAACTGGAGGCTTTAGAGGAATTAGTTACTGAACAATTAGAAAATGGACATATAGCTCCAACATTTTCCCCTTGGAATTCTCCAGTTTTCGTAATTAAGAAAAACTCAGGTAAATGGAGAATGTTAACTGACTTAAGAGCCATTAATTCAGTTATACAACCTATGGGGCCATTACAGCTAGGATTGCCTTCTCCTGCTATGATTCCAAAAAATTGGCCTTTAATCATCACAGATTTAAAAGACTCTTTCTTTACTATCCCCTTAGCTGAGCAGGACTGTGAATGGTTTGCATTTACAATTCCTGCAGTAAACAACCTGCAGTCTGCTAAGCATTTTCACTGGAAAGTGTTACCACAAGGCATGTTAAACAGCCCAACCATTTGCCAGACTTATGTAGGGCAAGCAATTAAACCCACTCATAAAAAATTTTCAGAGTTACATTGTTCATTATATGGATGATACCTTTGTGCTGCCCCCACTCAAGAAGTATTACTCCAATGTTATGATCACTTGCAAAATTTGATTTCTCGCACTGGTTTAATTATAGCTCCTGACAAAATTCAGACTACTACTCCTTACTCCTACTTGGGTACCTTAGTAAATGACACTACCATTGTGCCACAGAAAGTAACCATACGTAGGGATCAATTGAAAACATTAAAAGACTTTCAAAAGTTACTAGGGGACATTAACTGGATACGACCTGCTCTAGGCTTTCCTACCTATGCCATGAGTAATCTATTTTCTATCCTTAGAGGAGATCCTGGTCTCACTAGCCCTCAGCAATTAACAAAAGAAGCTGAGGCAGAGCTGCAGCTAATCAAAAAGCAAGTCCATAAAGCTCAAATAAATAGAATAGATCCAGAGAAGACTCTTGATTTGCTAATTTTTCCAACTCAGCATTCACCTACTGGTGTTATTGTCCAAGAGCAGGACTTAGTAGAGTGGCTTTTTCTTCCACATACTAATTCACAGACTCTATCGCTACTACGATAGGAAATGGGAGAACTTGGATTGTTAAATTACATGGATATGATCCTGGAAAAATTATTGTCCCTCTCACGAAGGCACAAATATAGCAAGTTTTATAAATAGTCTTACTTGGCAAACCCATTTAGCTGACTTTGTGGGTATTCTCAATAATCATTTTCCTAAAACAAGACTGTTTGAATTTTTGAAATTAACTAATTGGATTCTCCCTAAAATAACTAAATGTAAACCAATTTGAAAGTGCTGAAAATGTTTTTACAGATGGGTCTAGTAATGGTAAAGCTTCTTATTCTGGCTTGAAAAGTAAAGTTTTTCAGACGCCCTATAGTTCAGCTCAAAAAGCAGAGCTTGTAAGCTGTTAATTGAGGTATTCACTGCTTTTAATATGCCTATTAATGTGATTTCTGATTCTTCAGATGTGGTTCATTCCACACAGATAATTGAAAATGCTCAGTTACAATTTCATACAGATGAACAACTGATGACCTTATTTACCCAATTGCAAACAGCAGTTAGGAGTAGAATGCACCCTTTTTACATCACCCACGTTAGGGCTCATATGCATCTTCCAGGACCTTTAACTGCAGAGATTTAAATGGCTGATTGCCTAGTTGCTAATGCAATATCTAATGTTCGACACTTTCACAATTTAACCCCTGTTAATGCCTCTGGTCTCAAACACAGATACAGCATTACCTGGAAAGAAGCTAAAGCTATTATCCAGCAATGCCCAACTTGCCAAATGGTGCGTTCCTCATCTTTTACAGGAGGAGTTAATCCTTGAAGATTGGAACTTAATTCTCTTTGGCAAATGGATGTCACACATGTTCCCTCATTTGGAAGACTAGCTTATGTACATGTATGTGCGGACACCTTTTCTCACTTGTCTACATGCCAATCAGGAGAGTCTTCTGCCTGTATTAAACGTCACCTTTTGCAGTGTTTTGCAGTTATGGGCATTCCAGCTTCTATTAGAACAGATAATGCCCTAGGCTATACTAGCCAAGCTCTAGCTATATTTTTCTCTATATGGAATATTAAACACATTACTGGTATCCCATATAATTCTCAAGGACAAGCCATAGTGGAAAGAATGAATCTCTCCCTGAAACAGCAGTTGCAAAAACAGAAAGGGGGAAATGGATTATGGGACAGCGCACATAAAATTGAATCTAGCATTATTAACTTTAAATTTTTTTAGCCTGCCTAAAGGCCAGATGTTAGCAGCAGCTGAACAGCATCTACACAAACCAGCTACAAAGACAGAAGGAGAACAACTGGTTTGGTGGAGAGATCTGATAATAAAAATTTGGGAAATAGGTAAAATAATAACTTCAGGTAGAAGTTATGCTTCTGTTTCTCCAGGACCGAATCAACAGCTGATTTGGATACCATCAAGACGTTATCATGAGCCAGATGCTGAGGAATAGATTCCGGGAGGATTCCAAGGACCCACCAGTTGTAGCCATGTTGAGACTGACACTGAAGAGGACCCCAACTATCATGTGCAACCCCTGTTGAACACAACCACCTACCTGGGGACAGGTCAAGAAGCTGTCACAGATGGCAGAAGAAAACCTGAGGAAAGCAGGACAACCAGTCACAATGAGTGGTCTAATGGTAGCTGTAATAGAGTTGATCACCATTTCCATGAGTATTCCTTCAACAAGGGCTGGCACAGAGAACAATTATACTTATTGGGCATATTTATCAATCTTGGCTGGCAATAATGCCTGGATGTAATCACTCTCTGACACAGTTACACATGTTTTCTGATCTCAGTATTTACCATAATAAATCTGCTCCTATATGTATATGTATACTGTCGTAAAGTAAATAGAACTGCAATTTATGATCATAACCATTTTAACAACTATTTTAATATCCTATGTTGTATACTTCTCTAGCACATTTCAAAGTGAAATAATTTTATTCTCCTTTAGGAAAGTGGGAGTTTATCTGTGGCAGTATTGTTAAGCAGGAGTTGTGGGCTCTGTGTTGTATTCCCAATGCTGTGCTCTCCCTCCTCACTTCTGAATATCTAGTCTCCGTAAAACAGTGGACCAGAAGATGACATTTCAGGGTTTATTACTGCCAGATATTTTCTGTATTTAAATATGTAGTATCTCAGGTAAAAGACTGAGGAGGCCATGAAATCCAATATAACTTTGTCTATTATAAAACACTGTTTTAAAAGTGTGTCCATTTTAGTTGCTAGGTTCAAGTAACTCAGATCCATTGTTGGGGTGAGAAAATTTTTTCAACACGATTCAGGAAAAATTTACAAATTTTTAATCTTCTATTTGTTTTCTTCCCTGAGTTTAATTTAGGGAAACTTCTTAGTTATAAAATGAATATTTTTGTTTTAAAAAACCACCATTTTAGGAAACGCATAGGCTGCCACTTGAAGAATTTCTGTATTTGGGGCAAAATAAAGATAAAGAACTTCAGTGTTTAGGCAAGTATAAATAAACTAGCATATTTCTATCATTCTCAGCACTATGTTACTAATGCCATTACAACATTTAATCTTCAGATATTAGAGACAACTTTCTTTAGAGATGGAAGATCAATTAATCTAAAAAATGTCTGGTACACTCATGATTCACTCATGATTCACTCAAATTGAATAATTATACTCCATTTACACCAAGCTTTATGGAATGACAGTGATTTTTCACGAGTTTTTGAAACCATCAACTTGTGATTATTCACTAAGTGTTTTTAGCTCTATTAGTTATATATGACACATTCCATATTATATACATGTATTGCTCTATTAATATATATTATATATGTAAACTGTTATTAGAAAAATCTTTTCATCTTAAAAAATACTATAGTGCTCCTCCTTTATGAGAAAGAGACATAAGATTTAAATTATACCGAGAAATATTATTTAGCACTTTGGCCATAGTAGCTTTGAAAACATATTTATATATGGATTGCTTGATTTTACAGGCTTAATTCTAAGTCCAATGAAACTCTACTTCATTAATGTTTTCAGTTTATAAACATATAAAATAATCATGCATTTTTACTCCTTAGAGTATTTTTTAAAAGTTTAAAATTACATAGATTGAGAAATGTTATGTCAGAGTATGGTCAGGCTGTGCCTAAAGATCATAAATGTTAAGGAACTATTACAACCTGCAGAAATCCATTCCACTTTTTGCAATCTGTTAGTAATCTCACCCCATTTCTTCATACATATGCTTTTTCAGAGAGCTCATTCTATTTTTCTGTAGCAAGCACCTGATCGTTCAGTAAATTTAATCCTAACGACCAATAAGGAAAATCAGTATTTACCATGTTTCTTCCATGACAGCCACTCTCTAAAAGTTTCTTTCTCTTTACCATATTCTTGTAATATTTCTACTGTGGCATGTTTCAAACAGACTAGCACCATTGCATCAACTCTAAATACCTTTATGTTACACTAATAGTTGTTTAAACTATAAAATCTATAGTAGTTCCGTTTCACTTTTCTCTGAGAAATGAGTACATTTTCTTAGTCATCTGTCCACTAATATTTTGGAAAAAGAAGGCCAGCGCAGTCATTTCTTCCCTTCTGTCAGACATAATTCCTCGGTTTAGCCTTCCCACCTCTATACAGTCCGATAACGGACTGGCCTTACTAGTCAAATCACCCAAGCAGTTTCTCAGGCTCTTGGTATTGAGTGGCTCCTGGTTTTACCTCAAACTGCCACCCTTAAGTCTCTCTTTAAGTGGATAGAAGATCTTCAGTGACAAAGTACACTCCAATACTTTCACCCTAATGAAGTCCTATTCTTTACTTTTATACTCACTCTTATTCTCATTCCCGTTCTTATGCCACCCTCTACCTTTCCCCACCACTCTATCTCCACCACTCTATCAATCTCAGCCACTCCCTCCTAGCCATTTCTAATCCTTCTTTAATAAACAATTGCTGGCTTTCCATTTCTCTTTCCTCCAAAATCACTGAGGCCTCGACTTACTCAATGCTAAAAAAAAAAAAAAGGTCGAGGGGACTCTGTATATTTTTCAGTGAAGAGTGCTGTTTTTCCCTAAATCAATCTGGCCTGGTATATGACAACACTAAAAAAGAACCCTCAAAGATAGAGCCTAAAAACTTGCCAACCAAGCAGGTAATTATGCTAAACCCCCTTGGACCCCTTTGGACACTCTCTAATTAGAGGTCCTAGGTCCTCCCAATTCTTGGTCCTTTAATACCTGTTTTTCTCCTTCTCTTATTCGGATCTTGTGTCTTCCGTTTAGTTTCTCATTTCATACAAAACTGCATCCAGGCCATCACCAATCATTCTCTACAACAAATGCTCCTTCTAACAACCCCACAATATCATCCCTTACCCCAATATCTTTCTTTTTTATGGAAGAAAAAAATCTTCCCTAAAGAAAATCATCTTCGGTGACAAAGTACACTCCAATACTTTTTTTGTTTTTGTTTTTAACTCTTATTTTATTCTGTTAATGATCTCATCAAAATCATGTAGCTTTATACTGGGTGGGATTGGGGCACATCTTAGTTTCTCTTGAATCTCCTCAGGCCTTTTAAATCAGGTTCAGCATCTGAATTTTTAATATTAAATTGCATACATTAAATTCCATTATAACTAGAAAAAAAAGAATATCAACAATTTATCTATGTTACTTGCTCAGTCCTTGAACATCGAACTTTGTGGTGAAAACTTTTATTTTATTTGACTTTCCATTGTCAGATAGGACTCTCAGTAGAAGTATGAGAACTAAAAAAAAAAAACAGAAATCTTGAATACAATAAATATATTAATGGTTAATACAATTACTTCTAATTTAAATTTTAATTATTTACACTATACAATCATATTTATTTGTGCATTCATTAATTACATGAAATATCCTAAATATATATTTAATCTTAAGTATGTTTCAAATCAATCTAAACATTTAGGCATTTTAATCATAATATAGTTTGACACACTATATTAATTACTAATTTAATTTCCATCAGTATCCAAATAAAATTTATATTTTAGTCTGAAAGTAATGAGGAATGGTCAAAACATTTTCTACATGGAGTGACACACCATACTGACTGAGACTAAATTATCATTTTGGGCAATTATACATTGTGAAAAAATGTTTCATTATGTTTATTATGATTATCATCTATTTTAATGTTATATTTGTCATTATTCAGTAAACCTTTACTGAATTTACAGTTAGAATAAAATACAGTTTAAGAAAGACATATCTCTACTCAAAGGTGTATCCCAAATATCAAGCAGAATGAATATAAATCTAGACTAATAAAAATTGTGATAAATCTATGAAATATCAATTTTATACAGAATATTTAAAAATTATCAAAAGCCAAAACAGTTAAATATTATGTGTTTTAAACAAAAAAAATATAAATCTTCTTAATAACGATGGTAGAAATCAATGGAGTCATGTCTCCACAGCGCTAAGGGAAAATCACTGGTGATCTAAAAATTTGTATACAGATGAACTACACATCAAGATTGACAATAAAATAAAGACATATTTAGGAATAAAAAACAAAGAAAGTTGATCACCTATTATAAAAAGTAATACAAAACATATAACTCAGTGAGAAAATAAGCGAAACTGAAGGGAATGTGAAGGAAAAAGAAACAAAAGTAAGACAACTTTAAATGTTTCAGAAATGTTAATAATCTGGTAAATGTAAAATTTAAAATATCACCTTTTTAAAGGTCAAACATAAATTCTAAACTAAAATAGCAAGGGATAGATAAGTGAATTTTAGAGTTAAATTTGCCAAAATTCTTGTTAATATTAATAATTAATAACAATATGTTCTCTTTTCTAGAATCCAACTATTAACATTTTAAAGTTAATCACAAAAATAAGAATATAATATACAACTTTTGAAAGTTTTTCAAACCAAAACAAGCTTATAAAAGAGAAAAGCAAACAAAAATAATAGAGTAAAAACAAAATCTGCATTAATAATAATAAAATCAAACTGAAATATGAAAAATAAAGAGGAGGGAAGTAGTTATGTCTAAATTCTAAGTTACAAATATAAGCCTGAATATCAGTATCAGCAACAGATGAAATGTATTCTATGGCAAAAAATTAAGAGTACAGCAAATATTTTATATATAATAATAAAATCATTTACGTATTGTAAAAATTACTAAAATTAATACAATTACCATATTTAGTCAATAAACATATAAAGTAACAACAGAAATAAAAAGTGAAATGAACAGCTCTAAAACCAGAAAATTATAGATCATACAGATTAAAGAATTTTTTGACTTGATTGAGCATTGAAATAAATTTTATTGAATGAGAGACAGAAAGTTTATTTTAAATGTGTATTTTAATGCATTTGACGAGTGTTTTCTTTGAAGATACGTGTTTAACTGCAACTGTGTGAATGTGTTTTTATTTCTCTGCATTTAATAAGTAAAATTACAGAATTTGGGAGGATCTTTTTAATATTCAATAAGTATTATATTACATATTACACAGAATTAAGATTGATGTAATGCATATTATAACAACGAAGATACCATTAACTTTATAATGTAACATTCTTTTAGCTATCACCAAGAAAGAAAAATTATTCCCATTTAATAGTCAAACAATGATTTTTTTTTACTTAGATTTGCTTTACTCTTCTTGAAAGATTTGCATGAATTAATTTAGGCATAGTTTCTTTTGTACATTTCACATGTGCATACATTAAACGGAAAATATCAGCAATAGCAATAGGACAATTGCTTATCCATTAGGAAAAAAAAAACAAAGTTGGATTAATGTCCTACATTAAAATACATCAAAAATGGAATAGAGCCCAAAGGTGTATCATTAAAACTTTTAGAAGGAAAAGAGATTTTAATAAACTATGGCAGTGTAAAAGTGTTTTTCAGTTTGGTTATTTGTTTGCTTTTTGCTAAGGCTATCTTTCTTTGTTTCTTTTTTAAAAATATGTGACTCTATTTTATAGAACAGCCACAGGTTTACAGCAAAACTTAGTAGAGAGGGCAGTAGTTTTCTATATAAGCCCTCCTCAAACACATGCAAAGCATCTTCTACTCTCAACATCCTGCATCAGTGTGGTTAAAATCTATGAATCAACATTGACATGTAATTATCACCCAAAGTTCATAGTTTATACAAGGGTTCACTCTTGGTGTTGTACATTGTATAATGTTTAGACAAAGGTAAAATTATATGTATTTACCAATATAGTATTATACAGAATCATTTCGCTGCTCTAAAAATCCCCTGTGTTTCACCTGTTTATCCTCCCCTCCCACCCCAAACCTGTGATCTTTTTAATATTAGACATAGCTTTGCCTTTTCCAGAGTGGCATAGTTAGAATAATACAATATGTGTCTTTTCAGATGGGCTTATTTTACTTGGTAACATACATTTAAGGTTCTTTCATGTCTTCATAGGGCTTGATAACTCGCTTGTTTTTAGCACTGAATAATATTCCATTCTATACATATACCACAGTTTATGTATCTGTTCCTCTATTGAAAGACATCTTAATTGCTTCCAAGTTTTGCAATTTTGGCAATTATGGGTAAAGCTTCCATAAATATCCATGTGCAAATTTTTTGTTCAAGGAAGCTATCTACTCATTTGAGTAAATATCAAGAAGTGCCTTTGCTGAATCACATGGTAACAACATGTACAGTTTTGTAAAAAACGAAACAAACTGTTTTCTGTGGTGGCTGTATCATTTTGTGTTCCCACCAGAAATGAATAAAAATTTCTCTACTAGCATCTGGTTGTCAGTTTTTGGATTTTTATCATTCTAACACATTTGTAGTAGTATCTAACTGTTGTTTTAATTTGCAATTCCCTAATGACAATTGATGTTGAGGATCCTTTCATATGCTTCCTTTGCCATCTGTAAATCTTCCTTGGGAGGGTGTCTTGTTAGGTCTTTTCTCATATTTTAATCACACTGATCATTTTCTAATTATGAATTTCAAGAGTGCTTTGAGATTGAAAGAGTTCCTTGGAAAATTATCTTTTGGATAATTTATTGCACAGCTTCAAATCTCTCAACATTCTATTGACCATAATCAATAAAAGGATAGGTTTTCACTTTATGACTCACCTTAAATTACATTGTCGGTCATTTAAAAAATAGCTTTGCATACAACATCAAAATATTTGTCACTTTCCTGCTTCTTTATACATAATTAGTAAAAGTCCCAATCTAGGATTCAACTTTTTGCCTACACTATAACTGCACTTACGTAGGTTATCATGTCTGAGGAAAAAATGATATAATTCAACCATACTGACTGGTATCCCCTTAAAATCATAACCACAGCATTTAGAGGGTCTTTACTGTTTGGTGAGAGCATTAAAAAGAAACCATTTTACTGTATAATGTCTAATAAATAATGTGAATGTCTTGGAGTCCATCTAACACAGTTAACATTACAACTTATAGTTAGATCATATTTAAATTTTCTCTCCTCCAGTAAGTGGAAATTTTTGATTCATATTTTATATAAACATTTTTGTGGTAATTGAATTTAATTAAATTTTCCTTTGTCAAAATGTATCTTAATTTTAAAGTATTGGTATTAACACGTTTATAGCATCGCCTTATGATTTATCCTTTAATTCCTCTAAAAATCACATTAAAATAAAAATCAAGCAATTTTTATTTTACTTTAACTTAATTGAATTTTTAAATCATTGTGTACTTCCACCAAAAGAAAATGATATTAAAACAGGAAATAGACTTTACATAATTTTATTATTATATAATAAATCAATTATTGTGGTAAATTCCAAGTGATTGCAATTTGTATTTATGAAACATCTGCCTCTATGCAGCATGTTAATTCTAATCCATTTGAGAAAATTATCCAATGACAAAACTACTTTTCCATAAAGTAAAATGGAATAGGATTAATATATGTACTTTTTAAACTAATGAAGCAACAATAAATAACTTACATGACTTAGTAAGAGAAAATTATGAAACCATATTTTTAAATATTAAAACATAGAAATGATTGCATTATATAAATTCAGAAACCCAGTATTTCCTTATATGTGTGCTAGATCTCGTGACGTGTACTGGATTCCATGAAATTTAACCTAGAGCTTTTCACTTCTGTAAGAAAGGCTATGTATACATAATTTCAAAATCAATATTTTATTATCACATTTTTACTTTCTATAGTAAAGTCTTATGGAATTAGTCATTAATGCTTTTTAATTAGAAGACAAATTTTCTAATACACTATGTATTATTACAATAGAGGCATCTCACTTGTACAGGTGTTTTCAAGGAAAGACAAATAGTCTAAAGTAAAATGACGAAGGGAGCTCACAGAGCTATACATTAGACAAGTCAAAAGCTTCTTGATTTATTGAAGGCTCCTGGCAAAATTATTTAATACAAATTATAAAGTATTCTAGAAAGATTTTTTTACTCTAATTTATATAGGAACTGTGATGTAGTGATATATTAGTGATATATATAGTGTGGTTTTTTTTTCTCTTAAAATCAGCAGTGTATTAGTCTACAAATAGAGAGCCAATGGAAGTATTAACATAATTTATATAGGCTGCAAATGTTAAGTGTTTTATTCAGTGTAGAAATAAATCTATCTCTTTGATTAAATCCATCAATTAAGTCGATGGCTGAAATTCATTAAAATAGATGTATAGCATGCTACTGAAGACAAGCAAATGGCTCATCTATCACTACTAAGCAAACGATTGTAAGAAAAAAATGATATGGAAAAGATAGCACTTTAGCTTTCAATTTGCATCAGATTAGAAATACAATATATGGTTAACATTGTAAACGCTAATCACAAAACCCTTATACTTGTTCCAAGAGTTCTTAAACAACATGTTTTCGTAAGTAACTTCACTATTTTAATTGGTAAATCTATAGACTCTTAATTTGCATAAACACAATTGAAGCACAAATTTTAAAAAAAGAGACAAATCAAATTAATATTATTTTCAGTTAAAGCACTATCATAGAAACTATGCATTTATTTCCTGTGGAATTACTTTCCTTAAATTTAAATATTTTGTAAGTCTGGAGAAAAATTCAACTGATAAAAGTTGTGATAAAACAAGCATTAAAAAATCTATATATAATTTATTGAAATGTGATTTTTATCACAAGCTTAATAATAAAATTCAGTTCAGAGAGAGTAATCATTAATCCACAATTGCCAATATCTTTTCTGAGTCAAAATTTCAATTCAAATCTCTATCATTCCAAATCATGTGCACCTTTCTAAATGTCCCAATGCCTCGTGTAAGATCATTTTGAAGTACAACACATTGATAAATTTAGCAATTCAATTGAAGCAATCAGAAAAAAATAGATTTTTGTACAAGATAAAAAATTATAAGAATAATGATGTCTTTTCAAAATTTTATGTCATTTTAAATAAATTAAAATTACATTATTTCATTTTAAAAACTTTTTAATTTACCTAAGTAGTATTTGTTGATTATCTTTTATATTTTTAAATAAAATGTTTTATGTAGTAGATATACACTATGGTATACTATGTAGTAATACAAAAGAATAAAATCATGTCTTTTGCAGCAACATGGGTACAGCTGGAAGCCGTTATCCTAAGCAAACTAACATAGAAACAGAAAACCAAATACCACATGTTTTTACTTATATGTGAAACACAAGTACTCATGGACATATGATTTACTTATAGTGATAAATGTGTCATTTGCTTGTCTTCTATAGCATTCTATACATGTATTTTAATGAATTTCAGCCATCAACTTAATTGATAGTTTTAAACAAAGAGATAGATTTATTTCCACCGTGAGTAAAACACTTAACATTTGCAACCTATATAAACATTGAGTTAAATGTTGGGTACTCATGGACATAAAGATGAGAACAATAGGCCGGGTGCAGTGGCTCACACCTGTAATCCCAGCACTTTGGGAGGCTGAGGTGGGAGGATCACAAGGTTAGGAGTTCGAGATCAGCCTGGCCAACATGGTGAAACCCCGTCTCTACTAAAAATACCAAAAAAAAAATGTAACCGGGCATGGTGGCGCATGCCTGTAATCCTGGCTACTCAGGAGGCTGAGGCAGGAGAATTGCTTGAACCTGGGAGGTGGAGTTTGCGGTGAGCCAAGATTGTGCCACTGTACTCCAGCCTGGGTGACAGAGGGAGACTCTATCTCAAAAAAAAAAAAAAAGAAAAGAAAAAAGAAAAAAAATGATGAGAACAATAGACACTGGGGAATACAAGAAGGGGGAAGACAAGAAGGCAGCAAGGATTGAAAAATTACCTGTTGGGTACCATGCTCACTACCTGGCAGACAAATTTGTTCCTACTGCAAACCTCAGCATCGTGCAATATACACTTATAACAAACCTGCATATATACATATACCCTTTGATTCTAAAAGAAAAGTTTTGGCCACAGTACTATACAAACTTTTTTTTCCCCAACAATTATTGATTCTTCTTTTCATCTACATTATTGTGGTTTTTGAGAGACTAAAATTAGCACTAGTAAGGAAAGCTTTATTTCTTAATCCAGATTATTATTTCTATTTCCTTCTCTTATTTTCTCTCCTCCTCATTTATCTCTTCAACTCCTTCTCTGTCTCATTCTTCTTTCCAAATTTCTTAAGAACAAACCAGTATTTTAAATAAAGAATGTATGCTATTACCATAGTAAGGGAATTGGAGGATTTTTTAATTCCAGTAGATTTTAATATAACATTGTTTGAGATATGATTGTTAGAGTCATATTTGAATATTTTAAAGGCAAGTTACTATCACATATAAAACATATACTTTCATTGGACAGTTGTTTTACTGTGGCCACTCTTGTTTAAGAACATTTTGATAGCAAACCAGCATAACACTTTTTGAAAATTCTATCCACTGGTGATGTGTGTAATTCTGTCAGTTGGATTGACACCAAATATGTATTGTTTGAAACATCTGCTGCTCCTCCTGAGGAAGGATTATACTGCCATATCCTATCAATGTCAGGATTGTCAGTGTTATCCACAGTGTCTCTCTTTGCACAAGGATCATACTTCCCTCCATGCCCAGTTATCTCAGATTTAGTCATTAGGATTTGTGGTTCGCCATCTAGAAAAAAAGTTATACATTTTGAAATCAAGAGAGGTCATGTAAATCATTTTGGTCAATGAAATTAGTGTGGAAGTGATATGTATCATTTCTGAAGTTTTAAAAGCCAATTCACAGTTAGCTTTATTTCTTTGTTCCCTTTGCCAAGCAAATGGCATGCCCACAAGAGTCTGTTTTTTCAGCCTGGACTGGAGGGAATATAACATAAAGCAGAGACACATTGGTCCCACAATGAACATTTAGCAGGCAATAGAAATAAATTTTATCTTCATAATCCATATAAAATAATTATAAATAAATGTTTCATTGAGATTTGGACTTGTTTATTAACAAAAATAGCATACTGTATCTATAATAACAATTGTAGTAACTAAAATTTATTAAAACTGAAGTTAGGACAAAATATAAACTAGTTAAAATATAAATTTTAGTGTGATTCAAAAAATTTCATGATGTATCAGTGATGGGATCTGCTTTATTCTGAAGGTCAGATTTTTTTAATAACAGTATCCGTATGATGAGAAATAAATGCTTTGATCAATAAAAATTATCTGAAAATTTGAATCTATGACATTGTGATTGATTTTTTTTTAATGTTGCAATCCCTTCTGTTGCTACTATAAAGTCAGAGGTGTTGGCCCTATAAATAAATATTTCAACCAAATTAATTTTAAGGGTTACATTAGTCATTGTTCTCCAGAGAAGCAGAACCTATAAGAGATATATGTGTGTGTATGTATCTATATATGTATACATACACTCCTATATATACTCACACATATACATATATATATGAAATTTATTATAAGGTATTGGCTTATACCAGCCAGTTGTTCAAAGTCAATGGTAAGTTCAAAATCTACCATGTGGGCTGGCATTTTGGAGATTCAAGAGAGCCAATGCTGTGGTTCCAGTTCACAGGCACAGCAAGCTAGAGGACAATGAAAGTCAATGTTGGAGATGAAATCTGAATACAGTCTGCTAGGGAGCTCTCTCTTGCTAAGGGAGACTAATCTTTTTATTTTTCTATTAAGATCTTCAACAGATTGCATGAAGTTTACAACATATGATGAGCAATCTGCTTTACTCAGCATTCACCAAATTAAATGTTAATCTCATCCAGAGGCATCCTGTAAATTGACACAAAAAATTAACTATCCTGGCCAGGCGCGGTGGCTCATGCCTGTAATCCCAGCACTTTGGGAGGCCGAGGCAGGTGGATCATGAGGTCAGGAGTTCGAGACCAGCCTGACCAACAAGGTGAAACCCCGTTTCTACTAAAAATACAAAAATTAGCTGGGCGGGTGGTGGATGCCTGTAATCCCAGCTACTCAGGAGGCTGAGGCAGGAGAATTGCTAGAACCTGGGAGGCAGTGGTTGCAGTGAGCAGAGATTGTGCCACTGCACTCTAGCCTGGGTGACAGAGCAAGACGCTGTCTCAAAAAAAAAAATTAACTCTTCTAGATATCGGGGGAACCTGCCCCCAATATTTCAACGTAGGTTCTTTCTATTTTCCATAAGTGTTTGCCAGCTGAGAAATAAAGAGAAAGAGTACAAAGAGAGGAATTTTACAGCTGGGCTGCCAGGGGTGACATCACATATCGGTAGGAACGTGATGCCCACCTGATCCGCAAAACCAGCAAGTTTTATTAAGGACTTCAAAAGGGGAGGGGGTGCAAGAACAGGGAGTAGGTCACAAGATCACATGCTTCAAAGGGCAAAAAGGAGGACAAAGATCACATGCTTCTGAGGAAACAGGACGGGGCAAAAATCAGAAACTCCTGATAAGGGTCCAACAAAGATCACAAGGCAAAAGGCAAAAGCAGAATTACTGATTAGGGTCTATGTTCAGCGGTGCACGTATTGTCTTGATAAACATCTTAAGAAACAGAAAACAGGGTTCGAGAGCAGAGAACCGGTCTGACCTCAAATTTACCAGGGCCGGGTTTTCCCCACACTAGTAAGCCTGAGGGTACGGCAGGAGACCAGGGTGTATTTCAGTCCTTATCTCAACTGCATCAGACAAACACTCCCAGAGCGGCCGTTTCTAGACCTCCCTGCAGGAATGCATTCCTTTCCCAGAGTATTAACCCTTGCTAGGAAAAGAATTTAGTGATATCTTCCCAACTTGCACATCCATTTATAGGCTCTGTGCAAGAAGAAAAATATGGCTCTATTTTGCCAGACCCCACAGGCAGTCAGACCTTATGGTTGTCTTCCCTTGTTCCCTGGAAATCGCTGTTATTCTGTTCTTTTTCAAGGTGCACTGATTTCACATTGTTCAAACACATATGTTTTACAATCAATTTGTACCTTTAACACAATTATCATAGTGGCCCTGAGGTGACATACATCCTCAGCTTACGAAGATAACAGGATTAAGAGATTAAAGTAAGACAGGCGTAAGAAATTATGAAAGTATCATTTGGGAACTGGTAAATGTCCATGAAATCTTCACAATTTATGTTCCTCTGCCACAGCTCCAGCCGGTCCCTCCGTTCGCGGTCCCTGACTTTCTGCAACACTAAGAATATGTCTTTATTTATCCATTTAGATAAATAGGTAGGTAGATATATAAAAAGTATAAGTTGGTAATTAATTATTTTGTGAATCATTAAAAGTAAAGATATGATTTGATTTTTGATTTGGATAAACATTTAAATTTTCTGTCATTTAATCACTCAAATTCCTAAGTTTACATACTACATTGTTTTTCATTATATTTTATATCACTGATTAATTCTGACTGCACCTATACATGTTAATTTTAATATAACTAAACATTGCTTTTGCTTTCAGAACTATCCACAGAATGTTTGATTAGAAATTTATTGATAAATATCTGAAAATTCTAATACTATTATAGAAAAAAAATTCCAAAAAGGAAACAAAAAGCAAACTTCTAGGTAACACACACTCCTCAAAATATTTATTTTCAAGGCAAGCTAAAAAACACGACAAGCTATTTATACAAAGAATCATTTTAAGTCATTATGTTTACATGGTTTCTCCTTAGAAATCATTTCAATTTACTGCAATTTGTGGCATCCTCCAGGTGTCTTGGATAAACATAACTTAAAAGTTTTGTTTTTTCCCCCCCAAAAAAGAAGAAATGTCATGAAAAATAGTGCGGTAGGATCATTTGGAAATGATCTAGTTCCACTTACTCATTTTATCAGAATTAGCAAATTATCATTTTAAGCCAGAGACTGTAGAGAAAAATCTGCATCTTCTTAATCATCTCATTTACTTTCACAAAAAACCACAAATGTTCAATTGCGTCTCACAACTTAATTTCTCAATTCAACAATCCATCAAATACTGAATGAGCATGTACTATAAGATGTATACTTTAGAAGGTATAATAGAGAGTATTTGTGGAGATAAAGACAAGAAAGTCATTGCCTCTTTTCTCCATACACCACAAAATGTGATGTGAGTTTTCTTCTTATTTATATTAATTAACTTATTTTATTTTTTTGAAATGGAGTCTCTCTCTGTTGCTCAAACTGGAGAGCACTGGCACAATTGCAGCTCACCGCAACCAGGTTCAAGTGATTCTCCTGCCACAGCCTCCCGAGTAGCTGCGATTACAGGTGCATGCTACCACACCCGACTAATTTTTGTATTTTTAGTAGAGTCGGGGTTTTGCCGTTTTGGCCAGGCTAGTCTCAAACTCCTGACCTCCAGTGATCCGCCCACCTCAGCCTCTCAAAAGTGCTGAGATTACAGGCGTGAGCCACTGTGCCAGGCCAAGTTTTCTTCTTAAACATACAGAGATAATATTCAAGTCTTTTATTCTAAGTATTAGTAACTAACAATATTACTCATTAGCATTGAAAAGCTATTTGTATACTTTATTGTTTATATAAGATGGAGAACTGCCATCTTCCAACTTATTTCTGTGAAGAAACAGACTACACTTCTGAAGAAGCAGACTATATTTCTGTTAAGTATTTACAAATATGCAAAAAAGTATATTGTTAGCAAAAATATGTGTTTAGAACCTCTGTATGCCTCAAAACTTTCTGTGGTGGGTTGAATTACTTTAAAAATCCTCAAAACATCTCTTTATTTACCTAATGTATAGATTCAACCTGTACTTAGTTAAGGAATAATTTCTTAGAAAAGTGAGAATTATTTAATTCTTTCTTCAGAGTTCTGAGTAAACTTTTCTTAATTATTCTGAACCTACTCCATTTCTATTTTATAATTGAGTTCAATTCATATGCATATTTGCATTCTAGCAGCTTGCTTTTATTGTTTTAAAAATATTAATTCTTCAGTAGATTTCTTTAAAATATATTCTACACCCACAATTAATGTCTTAATGACTAGTGTTCCATATCTAGGTTTTATCTAAAAGAAGAACGGGAATATTTAGTTGTAGGAGTAAATACCACATCTTCCCCCCATAGGAAAACTACAGGTTTACTTACAATCAATTTATAATATGTTGTCAAAATCTTCTTTATACAGAGTTCTGCAAACAAGATTTATCACGGCTGGATGGAATTAATTTACTGATTTCTGTGGCATGAGGTTGATCCTTTTGATAGGTAATCAAAATTCAGCTTTCAGTGAGATTTAAAAGAAGTTGCTTTAATGGATGCAAGTAAGATAAAATTCAAGCTTTTTCAATATTTCTGTATACCATATAAGAAATATATATTCTGTAACAATAGTCTGTAAATGGAATAGTCATGTAACTAGTCATACATACTACGGTCCATTTGAGAGTAAAAGGAATAATCATAAATTTTTTTTTTTTTTGAGATGATATATCGCTCTGTTGCCCAAGCTGTAGTGCAGTGGTGCAATCTCAGCTCACTGCAACCTCCACCTCGCAAGTTCAAGTGATTCTCCTGCCTCAGCCTTCTGAGTAGCTGGGATTACAGGCCCGAGCCATCATGCCCAGCTGATTTTTGTATTCTTAAATTTGATTTTAAAGGACACATAGATGTGTACTTTACTGGGAAAACAAGAGTTAGGTCCATCTTATCTATAAACAATTTGAGGCCTGAGCATAGTGGCTCATGCCTGTAATCCCAATGCTGAGGCCAAGATGGGAGGGTAGCTTGAAACCAGGAGCTTGAGGTTACAATGACTATGATCACACAACTGCACTCCAGCCTGTGCAACACAGCAAGACCTTGTCTCAAAAAATATTATTAATAATATTAATAATAATTTGAGGAGAGGTACTATTTTCTTAACCATGATATCTTCAACACATAGCCTGACACGTTATAAGCACCTAATAAATACAGGTTTAAAAAAAGAATGCATTAATTGTTTTAAAAGTAATTATTATGCCCTTTTTATAATTATTGATTTATTACAAACTTTACCTATTAAATTTATAATTCAAGTGCTATTAAGTCTAACATTTTAGAGAATAATTGTTTTCCCAATTATTCTAGGTCAAGTTATACTCTGTGAAATATCCTTTATGCATTGTATTAGAATGCACTTATCCTTTAGTGAAAGTAATTTTATATATCAAACAATATACATGCACATCAACATCATTTATCTAGATGCAAATGTTAACTCCATGACAGAAGCATAACAGTGGTAAATTTGGTAAATTAAATTTACGAGTCTGCGTCAGGGATAAGGGAATGTGTAAAGATGTTTGCTTCTACTTCATTGCTATGGGTGATATCAAGGAATCTGATATTTTGAGATAAAGTACAGTGACATACAAGTAATACAATTTAAATGTAATATATGGTCTTGCTAACCTGGATTTCAAGTAAGTTCTATGTTTTTAAAATTCTAATAAATTGATGTTCAACAGGAAAACTTTGACAATGCTTCTTTGATAAAAAATAAAATGTAATTATAGCATCTATTTCATAATTAGGTAACTTACGTTTATGAAATTATAATAGCCCATCGTTATAAGAAAAGCAAAATTCCATTTTTAAGTTAAAAAAATAAAGATGAGTAGAATTATTTTATATAGCATGCAAACAGGACACTGGTAATAAGCTTAATTAAAGAAGAAATCTATCGTGTGATCTTGTTACAACGTTAGCTAAAATGGAATCCAAATTTACTTCTAGAACACCATGGTAAATTAAGCAGGTGATGTAGAACTCAGGTGAGTTCAATAGTATGGCATAATTAAGGTTAAATTCTTGTTTTTTTCCAGATATTCATCTGTTCAATTTTAGCTAATAATAATTATTTCTTATTTCATTGGATTTCCCCAATGGAAAAATTAGGAATATAAATAAATAAGAATTTCTAAAACTGAATTTATAGCAAGCATTGGAATGTATAATAGTTTTTAAAAATATGTTGTGTTTTGGAATTGAGTCTAGGATCATCTTAGAGATTGATAATTCACATTGCCACTATGAAAAACATTACTGTAATAAAAGAGCGTGCATAATTTGTGTTTAACAAAGCATGAGCCAGATTTTACCACAACTCTTACCTGTTATTTTGATTTCTAAGAATTGCTATCGAGGAACTCTGGACAAGACAATATTTAAATCATCTTATTTAAGTATTACTAAGTATGTCATATGCATTGTATAAATGATGTAATTTACATGTATTTCCAGAGTAATGAAAATAATAGCTTTGCATAAATAAAAATATCCTCATATTTTATAATAACTCATTACATTTTTATTTCAAAGCTCCCAATTTTCCAAACTGAGTTGACAGTAAAAGACATAATGTCAAAATTTAAATATGCCAGTTAACAGTTATTGCTATCTCAGAACTTCCCAATAAATTAAATTTAAAATAACTATTAAAACCTCACTCATTTACCATCTTTTACCCCTATCTTCATCTAAATGATTTACCAATTAATGAGATTTTAATAGTAATTTTACAGAGATGGAGAATTAACCATTATTCTCTATTTCTGTCTGTTAAAACCCCCTCTCATGACTTGGGCAGCACTCTCAGGCCACAGCAATCTGCTTGCTGACTTTTTCTCTACTTCTCGTGACCATGTTGCTGGCCAGCTCAGAATGAAATATGGGATAGAATTGGGTAAAATGTCTTTCAGTATGGCTGTTCATGTCTTAGTTGAAACAGAAGTTTTCATACCTAACCCATATTTTTCTCTTTCTGCAGAATTCTATGGTCAATCTAGCTTGAAGTCAAGAGGCTTTACATCGGCAAGACATGACAAATCCAATTGTAACAGACCTTATCTTCTGCAATTCTGTATGTATATGAGAACTCCAGGAGTTTTTATCACATCTTTCTGATGTCCAATTGGCCACATATGTCCACTTTCATCTCATACAAGTGAAGCTGCACCCCATTCTTCAATAGCTTTGGGAACCCGTACATAACTGCAAAACTTTGGGGATATAATCAGTGGCCTACTGGAGATAGTGATATGTTTTTTCCTATCATTCAGGAGTTGTGAGGAGCTTGAGACTGTCTTTATTCTTTCCTGAATAATTCTTGCCCCATCATGCTATCTCTTGCTGAGGTCCCTATTCCATATTCTATGCAATAATGACAATTCTAACAATGGATATACAGGCATGAAAATAAATATTTATGACATATTATGCAGGACATACCATACCACATAATCAAGATTAATATAACACAAAGAAAGTAATATAGAGGATATGCAAGATTTAAAAGCATATTGGAGGCTGAACAAAATGTTCTGCTTAATAAGGTAATCACAAGTATCCTTGTTTTATTGAGCTTCTTTATATTGAACTTTGCAAATATTGCATATTTTATAAAGTGAAAGGTTTATGGCAACCCTGAGCGGAGCAAGTCTATCAGTGCCAATTTTTCTAACAGCATATGATCACTTCGTATTTCTGTGTCACATTTTAGTCAACTCTCACAATATTTCAAACTTTTTCATTATTATTGTATCTGTTATGGTGATTAGTCATGATCTTTGATGTTACTATTGTAACTTTTTGGGGGCATCATAAATTGTGTTCATACAAAAGGGGAATTTAGCTGATAAATATTGTGTGTGTTCTGATGCTCCATCAAAGAGTTGTTCCCATCTTTCTCCCTCTCCTTAAACCTCCCTGTTCTCTGAGACACAGCAATATTGAAATTAGACCAATAAATAACCCTACAATGGCCTCTAAGTGTTCAAGTAAAAGGAACAGTTACACATCTCTCACTTTAAATCAGAAGCTAGAAATAATTAAGCTTAGTGAGAAAGTCAAGTCAAAAGCTGAGATAGGCTGAAAGCTAGGTCTCTTGTGCCAAACAGCCAAGTTTTGATAGTAAAGAATAAGTTCTTGAAGGAAATTAAAAGTGCTAATCCAGTGGTACACTTTGGCTATGGCTCCACCCAAATATCATCTTGAATTCCCACGTTGTGGGAAGAACATGGTGAAAGGTAATAGAATCATGGAGGCAGGTCTTTACCATGCTGTTCTCTTGATAGTGAATAAGTCTCATGAGATCTGATGGTTTTAAAAAGGGGAGTTTTCCTGCAAAAGCCTTCTTCTCTTGTCTGACACTATGTGAGACGTGCCTCTAACCTTTCACCATGACTGTGAGGCTTCCCTACCCACATGGAACTGTAAGTCCAATAAACATTTTCCTTTGTAAATTGCCAATTGTCTTTTGTAAATTGGTATGTCTTTATTGGCAATGTGAAAATGGGCTAATACAGTAAATTTGTACAAGTAGAATGGGTCATTGCTGAAAAGATACCCCAAAATTTTGAAGCGACTTGGGCACTGGGTAACAGGCAGAGATTGAAACAGTTTGGAGGTCTCAGAAGAAGACAGGAAAATGTGGGAAAGTTTGGAACTCCCTAGAGACTTGTTGAATGTCTTTGACCAAAATGCTGATAATGATATAAACAATGAAATCCAGGCTGAGGTGGTCTCAGATGGAGATGAGGATTTTGTTAGGAACTGGAGCAAAGGTGAGACTTGTTATGTTTTAGCAAAGAGACTGGCAGCATTTTGCCCCGACTCTAGAGATTTGTGGAACTTCGAACTTGAGAGAGATGATTTAGGGTATTTGGTGGAAGACATTTCTAGGCAGCAAAGCATTCAAGAAGTGACTTGGGTGCTGTTAAAGGCATTCAGTTTTAAAAGAGAAACAGAGCATAAAAGTTTGGGAGATTTGCAGCCTGACAATGCAATAGCAAAGAAAACCCCATTTTCTGAGGAGAAATTCCAGCTGGTTTTAGAAATTTGCATAAGTAATGAAGAGTCAAATGTTAATCCCCAAGACAATAGAAAAAATGTCTCCAGGGCATATCAGAGGTCTTCAAGGCAGCCCGTCTCATCACAGGCCCAGAGGTTTAGGAGGAAAAATTGGTTCTGTGAGCTGGGCCCAGGGACCCTCGGCTATGTGCAGTTTAGGGACCTGGTGCCCTGCATCCTAGTTGCTCCAGCTGTGACAAAAAGTGGCGATGGTATGACTCAGGCTGTTACTTCAGAGGGTGGAAGCCCAGGCCTTGGCAGTTTCCATGTGGTGCTGTGCCTGTGGGTACACAAAAGTCAAGAATTGAGGTATGGGAACCTCTGTCTAGATTTCAAAGAATGTATGGAAATGCCTGGATGCCCAGGCAGAAGTTTGCTACAGGGGCAGTGACCTCATGGAAAACCTCTGCTAGGGCAGTGTGGAAGGGTAATGTGGGTTGGAAGCCCCCACACAAAGTCCCTACAATGGCACCACCTAGTGGAGCTGAGAGAAGAGGGCCACCATCTTCCAGACCCCAGAATGGTAGATCCACCAACGCCTGAACCTCATGCCAGGAAAAGCCACAGACAGTCAACATAAGCCCGGGAAAGCAGCCAGCGATGGTGGTGTTGGGGGTGGGAGGGCTATAACCTGCAAAGCCACAGGAGTGGAGATGCTCAAGGACATGGAGCCCACCTCTTGCATCAGTGTGACCTGGATGTGAAACCTGGAGTCAAAGGAGATCATTTTGGAGCCTAAAGATTTGACTGGCTTACTGGATTTCAGACTTGCATGGAGTCTGTAGCCCCTTTGTTTTAGCCAGTTTCTCCCATTTGGAACAGTTGTATTTACCCAGTGCCTGTACCACCATTATATCTAGGAAGTAACTAACTTGCTTTTGATTTTACAGGCTCATAGGCAAAAAGGACTTGCTTTGTCTCAGATGATATTTTGAACTGGACTTTTGAGTTAATGCTGAAATGAGTTAAGACTCTGGGGAACTGTTGGGAAGGCTGATTGGTTTTGACATGTGAGGACATGAGATTTGGGAGGGGCCAGGAGCAGAATGATATAGTTTGACTGTGTCCCTACCCAAATCTTCTCTTGAATTCCCATGTGTTGTGGGAGGGACACAGTGGGAGGCAATTGAATCACGAGGTCAGGTCTTTCCCATACTGTTCTCATGACAGTGAACAAGTCTCACAATATCTGATGATTTTTAAAAGGGGAGTTTCCCTGTACGGGCCTTCTCATCTGCTGCCATGTTAGATGTGCTTTTCAACTTCCACCATGATTTTGCAACCTCCCCAGCCACATGGAACTGTATGTCTAATAAACATGTTTCTTTTGTAAATTGCCCACTCTTGGGTATGTCTTTCACAGTGTGAAAACGGACAACTACACCCAGTAAACACATGAATGATATGAAAGCAAAACAGCCTTATTGCCAATATGGAGACAGTTAAAGGGGTCTGGAATAGAAGATCAAACAAGCAACAACATTCCATTTAAGCCAAAGCTATTCCAGATCTAGACCCTAACTTACCTTAATTATATAAAGCCGAGAGAGGTAAGGCAGCTGCAGAAGAAAAGTTGGAAGTTAGCAGAGTTTGGATCATGAAGTTTAAGGCAAGAAGCTGTCTGTATAACACAAAAGCACAAGATGAAGCAGCAAGTGCTAATGTAGAGGCTACAGCAAGTTACCCAGAAGATCTATCTAAAATAATTAATAAAGATGGCCATACTAAACAACAGAATGTCACTGTAGATAAAATAGCTTTCTATTGGAAGAACATGCTGTCTAGTACTTTTACAGCCAGAGAGGAGAAATCAAAGCCTGGCTTCAGAACTTCATAGGACAGGCTGCCTTCTTAGGAGCTAACACAGCTGGTGACTTTTAGTTGAAGCCAGTGCTTATGTACTATTCTTAAAGTCCTAGGGCCCTAGTTCAAGATAAGCCTGGCCAACATGATGAAACTCCATCCCAACAAAAAATGAAAAAAAAAAAATAGCTGGGCATGGTAGCACACACCTGTAGTCCCAGTTACTCAGGAGGCTGAGGCACAAGAATCACTTGAACCCAGTGGAGGTTGCAGTGAGGCGAGTTCGTGCCACTGCACTCCAGCCTGGGTGATGGTGAGACTCTGTCTCAATAAAAAAAATAAAAAATAATAAGAAAATAAAAAAATCCTAGGTCCCTTACAAATTATCCTGAATTTACTCTGTATATACTCTGTAAATGAAACAGCAAAGCCTGGATGACAGTACATTTGTTTACACCATGGTTTACTGAATATTTCAAGCCAATTGTTGAGACCTACTGCTTAGAAAAAATATTTTTCAAAATATTAGTCATTGAAAATGCATCTACTCACCCTATATCTCTAATAGAGATGTACCAAGATATTAATTGTTGTTTTCCTGCCTGCTAATACAATATTCATTCTGCAGCCCATGGGTCAAGATGTAATTTTCACTTTCAAATCTTATTATTTAAGAAATACATTTTGTAAGGTTATAGCTACCATAGATGATGGCTCCTCTGATGGATCTGTGCAAAGCAATTAAACTTACTTCTATACTTTAAAAGCATCCATTCAGTCAATTATACTATGTACTGGATTCTTTTTTAGGAGAGGATGGTCCAAGAATGTGTAAGACAATACTTTATAGCTGTCATATATTTCCTTTGATTTTACTCCCACTTCTCTGCTTGTACCTTCTCTATTTTGTAGGATCCTTGTTTTCTTTCTCTTGCCTTTTCCTTACCTGTAGATGTTCCATAGGGCTCAATTCCTATTTGACTTTTATCTTCATTGTCAATGTTCAATTTGCTTCAGGCTCATGGTTTTTACCCACATCTTTATAAAAATAATTTCAATCTCTAAGACTCACAAACCACATTTTCATATTTTTAACAATCTCTGGATATTTCCTTCTAGTTGTTCAACATAAAATTTAAATGAAAAATATTTTCAAAGTATTATATTTTTATATCATATTATATCATAATTTTCTCCAACAATTGCATCATAAGTCTAGGAAGCATGTGAATAGTCTCTTCTTTTCCCCAAGGATATACTTTAATTATGTATGAGTTACTCTTTTGCTAAAATTCCTTCAGGGATTCTTACTCACAGGAGTATATTATTATACTGAGTAGAATGACATACAAACATCTTATACTTAAGTCACATAATCATATAATTTGTCTCTCAGTTAAACAAACTTTGGCCATAAAAAGTGAAAATCACAGTACATGTCCTTTGGTTGAGACTTCTGTTTTAATTTCTGTTTCATCCTCTTACCTGAACTTTCCTGTCTTTGTAAGAGCTGGACTCCAACTCCAGAAACTTAGTTCCAAAGTTAGGTACTTATGCTTTTGGACACAATATTTCAAGATAGTCGTACTTATTTTTTTTTCCTGCTTCTAAGTACTTTCCAGACATTTTCAACCACTGCGCAGCTGACAGCTGAGACCATACTTTCACCCCAGAAAATCTTAAGGCTAACCTTTGCCTGAAATAAAATTGGGCTTGCTTATCTTCAAGGTTACTGATTCTGATCATGCCCTTTCTGCCTGGGTGGTCAGGTGCCTCATCTGACTTGCTTTTCTTCCTTTATTCCACGAAAATTGTTCTGCTTTTATCGTATTTTCTACTTCTCAGCTTCTACACCATTTGCTGAGTTCCTAATATTATCTACGTTATAGTCAACTTACCATAATTTTAAGCAAATATCATGTTTGAAATTCAGTGTATTTTTAAAAATATATCAATATATTTTATCTTCTATAATTATAATTGAGTATAATTGTATAATTAAGATTTATTTAATAAATGTTGTATTTTACCTATATAAAAATGCATGTATATATATATATTTTATTTATAAATATACACTATATTAATATTATGATATATGATAAGATGTATGATAAGAATCACATGAAAATGTTTAATTAATTAATTTGTTTTTCTTACTCACTATAAGTATTCAGAGCTCTGATAGTGGATCTTTTTATTTGAAAAGTACCTTTTTAAGTGGTTAGGAGAAAAAGGACAAAATAAACTCAATCACTCCAAAGATAAAATATAAACAGTTTTGGGGGAAAAGCCACTTTTTAGTTAGCATTTTTTTTGTGAATTGCGCTTGTTAATGCATTTGGTTGTTTATAATTTTTTTATATATAAGCTATCCTTTTTCCATTTTTACATCTTGATAATTCTGCATGCCACTATTCTTGGTAAACAGTTTACAGCAGTGTCTTATTGGCTGGAGATTATAATTCAACATATATTTTAAGTACTTAGACTTTCTGTGTTTGTAGTTATTCTCATTCACTTATTGAACACAATGTCTTACAGACATGCTTTGGGCATTTTATTTGTATTTATTCCCCATAAATCTTCAGGTTAGCAAGCTCATGAACTAATAACTATCTGTTTATTGCCTGCAGACTGGCTGACTTCCAGTACCTCAGTTTTAGCAATTCTGTTTAGTCTTTTCATGTTATTTGTTTAATAGTATAATTTCCTTAAGGCCTGCTGAACACTGTTGTTTATAATGTTTCTTTTAATTGAACAATCACATGGGTACAAGAAGATACATTCTCAAAGGTCAGAAACAAAAGTATGAGAATAAGTAAACTGAAAATACAAAAGTGTTGTTTAAACAAAGTTGTATTTCTGAGAAAATAGAAATACATTTGGTATTAGCTAAATAAAGTGTATACATATATAACTTTCTTCTGTTATAAAATGCTTTCTGGATACCCTGACATATACTTAAATTCTCTTCATATGAAATTATATTTTATTTTTGCTCTTATTTCTGTTTCTGGTCTCTTATCCAGTTTTACAGGCTGAACATCATAAATTTCTGTAATTTTTTCTGTAATTTTTATGCACTAAAATCCATTTATATTGAAATAAAAACAGTTGAGACAAGTGTGAAATATTTTATTGGGGATAATTTTATTCAACACATGAGAAATTTCCTTCTTCAGAGTCTATTAAATTTCTTTTTTACTCTAACATATTTTTGCAGTTTGATAGTAACAGCAATAAATGGCTAACTATTGAGCATAATAATTCAACTATCATATTTTTTAAAATTTAAGGATGTATCTTCTTATGGTTGTTCTCTATTTGTTCTCTATTTTATATAATTTTCATAACTTTTTATAAGTTCTTCCCATAATTACATTAAAAACAATACTGCTATTTAACACAGTTGATAAGTTCATCTTTGGCTCATAAAAGCTGGGTGGTTGGAGTTCAGTATTCTATGAAGTGCATGCCATACTACTCCCACATTACTAGAATGAACAAGTGTAAAATTAAAGCCTTGCATAAGCTCTTGGAGTATAAAAAGATTTAGAAACAAGAGGCTCAAATGATAATTATAAGAATACAAAACACTTCATTAATTGTATAGACATAATAAAATTAAGATATGATAAAATCTGGAAAATAATGATGGAAAAAGAATGAGAAATAGGTTTGCTTTTATCTCTTTAGTTTAACTGCAAATTAAAGAAGAAAATGAGAAATATACAAACGTGCAAAATGATTTTCATTCCTATTGTAATCACATGACATTTAGGATGCTGTCACAATAAGAATGTTGATGACTAGCTCCTTGCAGTTTAAGAAACATCATTAAAAAATACAGTATTATTTTTAATTTTCTTTTTTCTTTTTCATAATGAGAATATCAACTGTCGACCTTGCCCAAGAGCTTGAATTCCTATTAAAATGTTATCTGCCAATATTTCTATGGTGTAAATACCATGAAGCACCCATAAAGGTTGTTGTTTGGTTTAAGAGTAAATAATATTATTGACTAAAAAATATATAAATCCTAAAATACAAAAATTAGGTCAAAATATTGTTTTCACAATTCCATCAACATATTTGATTAACTACAAAAATTTAAATAAGCAATGTTATTAAGTGACAAAGATTAAAATATTATTCTTTTGATTACTGAGTATTGAAAATCTTGGTAATGAACAGCAAATGCAAGGGTCTTAGTCCATTGGTGGCTACAGTCACAACTGTGCTATCTCTAAACTGTGTTCTTATCTAAATGTTCACTTAAAAACATTAGAGTATATTTTGTGCATTAATATATTTCTGCATCCAGTGAGTTAGTAAGAAAGAACGAGAAAGAAGCAAAGTATATGACTTTATGAAATGTTATAAACATTGGGGATACAACCTTAGCCTTGCCTACAAAGTATGTATCTATTCAGGCTTTTCATCAACTTTGTTAGTTACATTGGATACACTGCTGAGGGTGTAATTTTAACTTACATTTGAAGTTCTGATTGCTACTGCTTGCTACATGCCTGGTAGTGCAATTAAAATTGAAATTTCCCACATGTATATGAACAGTTTATCAAATTTTTTTCAAACCTAAGAAAATTTGATGTAATATATTCACGCATCATGAAGAAGAAATGATCAAAGTGCTTATAACTCCCTACTCTCTGGCATATTGTCCTGAAAATTCCAGCTTCCAAAGCCTTCTGAACTTTAATTTCTTACTTTTAAACTCAGCAAAATTGCCACAATCTACTTCAGTTTTCATTCCCTACACCAATATCTAGAAATTGCCTCTATCCGAAAGACTGTAATATGCCTTCATGTGTTTGCCTTTACTCAGGGATCACAGTCTTACGTGTGTGTTGAAAAATGTTTGAAAACAGTTGGTTCACATATTTTACAAATGTCAAAATTGGCTTTTTATGTGAAGAATAATTCCAGTTCTCACTTTGGAAAGAAATAGAATAGTAAGAATAAAGCTTTTAGGTTAAAAATGTGATATAACTCAGTACAAGATTATAGACAGATTTAGATAGATACCTGAAATCTCCATCTATCAATCTATTGAACTATCTATCTATAAATAAATCAGACCAGTGATTACTTTTGTACCTAGACATAATGGAAGAGATTGAATATGTACATTTAGAACAAGATTCTTCAAAGGTGTATATAGTGTTTTCCTTCTTAACTGAATTTTAAGTGGATGGGTTTCACTATAAAAGTTCCCTCTTATCCATGGGCAGTATTTTCCAAGTCCCCTAGTGAATGCCTAAAACCATTAATAGTACTGAGCCCCATATATATATTATACTATGCTTTATTCAATATATATACATACCTAGGATAAAGTTTAACTTATTTTTATTCTTTAAACTTTATAAATTAGGCTCAGGAAGAGATTAATAGTAACTAATAATAAAATAAAAGTTATAACAATATACCATAATAAAAGTTATGAGAACATGGTACTCACCTATTTTTGGACCTAGGTTGACCATGGGTAACTGAAACTGCTGAAAGTAAAATCCAGGATAGAAAAACCATGGATAAGGGGGAGCTACTATACATTTCTTTTCATTTCTTCCTATTTCATTGATTTCTTTTAACCCTGTGCCTTTATGCATGTTGCCTCTACCTAAAACACACACCACTCCACTCTCCAGATCTGTTCAACTCATCAACAAAAATTATTGTAGGCATTCTCATTTCATTTTCCTCTGCTTTATTGTGTTTCACAGATATTGATAGAGGCAAGAGGCAGACAAATTCTAGACAGACATGGGTGGGTCCCCGGTGAAACCCCACCTTCAAGCCAAAAAAACAGAAACGTGTGGCCCAGTGAGAACTTCTATTCCTATTTGCTACTCCCAATTGCTTCTTTCTGAATAATGCCTTTTTTCCAAAAGAATGTCACCTTTTCCAAAACTACCCATGTCCCACTCCACCCCCGATCTTGTGCCTATAAAGACTCCAGACTCAGTGGGTAGAAGGGAGAGATGGCTTGACTAGGGGAGAGATGGTTTGACTTCGGGGAAGAGACAACCCTGACTTCAGGGAAGGTGACCTACCCTTCCCATCCCCATTCCAACTCCTCTGTCCACTGAGAGTCATTTTCATAGCTCAGTAAGATTATCCACCTTCACCATTGTTCAATTAGTCTGCACAACCTCATTCTTCTTGGACACCAGAAAAGAGTTCAGTACCTACCAAGTGCAGGTACCCAGAAAGTCTGTCAAACTGGCCCTTTGACCTAGCTGGTGGAGGACAGCCACCTCACACAATGAGGCAAGGGGTCAATTGAACTGCTAATATACAGCCATCTGCAGACAGCAGAGCTAAGAAAGCATTGTAACACTCTCTGGGACTTTGGGGTTGCAGCTCCACCAAGGCACCACCACAGGCTCCCCATGGAGCTTGCTCACATGCTCCCTCCCACAAAAGGTTGAGCACAGCTATCTGAGTAAACAGGGCACCCCTGTTACAAGTCCGATGAACGGGCTGAGAAAAATCCTGCATGAATACTCTATTATTTAGAAACTGAAGGTTTGTGGCAACACTGCGTTGTGCAACTCCAACAACACTATTTTTCCAACAGCATGTGCTCACTTCGTGTGCATGTTTCACATTATGGTAATTCTCAAAATATTTCAAACTTCTTCTTATTATTAAATCTGTTATGTTGATCTGTGGTCAGTGATATTCGATGATGCTATTGTAATCACTTCCTGCCGAAGAACATATGCAGACTGTTTTGTGTTACTAAAATGACACCTCAATTTCAATTTGAAAATACCTGTAGGAAGATTTTGCTGAAGCTCTAGACTAGAGCATGACAAACTAGTAATATCTACCCATAGCATGTGTACTTCTCCTTTGTAGTAGTAATTATATTTATTAAACAAAAATATGCAGTCATTCATTTTATGTATATTTTCCCTGCTAGAATATAAGCTCATCTGTGTTGATTTTACCCAAATGTGTGTTTTTACTGGTAAAGAAATATTTACACATACTAATAGCTCAATACATTTTTATTGAGTGGTAAAAAAATATAATGAAGCTATATAATGTTAACAGGATTGGACTTAAACCTAAAGTCTTTTTGCAAGTTGCAGATGGTTTTACCCAAGAATCTGCTACAGGACATACAGACCAGCAGAGTCTCCTTTCTACTCCAAAAATTAGAGATCTTCTTAGAATGGTAGATGGAATGATTCAGGGTCCTAAATTGTCTCAAAATAATACAGTTTTTGAAGTAGTAGGTGAGAGACATAAAAACTTAGCAGCAACTAAAGACAGATAAGTTATAATGCTACTACAAAAATGTACCTCAAATATTTTAAATATATAGAGAATAAAAATTATTTGAAAAAAATTTGAGAAAAAGCCAATCTTGTATGAATTTAAACTTCATACAAGTTCAAGATATATATAAAACATATATCAGCATTTACATCTTAGCATATTACATAAGATATATATTACATATTAACATATTACATAAGCTATACATTACATATTAGCATATTACATAAGATATATATTAGCATCTTGCATTTCATACAAGATAAGATATATATTAGCCTTTTCTATGTCCATGAAAATTTTTGAGTGAAAAGTATTATTCTTATTTCTGGGAAAAGCTAGAATAGAGCTGAAGGCTAAAGTTTTGTTGTTTCTCTACATTCTTCATTCCCTAAGAGAATCATGCTGACTGTGAGAAAAAAGAATATACATATACTTTCAAGAAACATCACAAACAATAAATCAGACATGTCTTATCATTAAATGATCTATAACTTAGTCTAAAGGGAGGGAAGATAAAATGTCAGCACGTATCTCAGTATGTCTGTGGGTGAGCAGAATTGGAAATTTTAGATACTAGAATATTAAAGTCTAATTGCCAATTTACTTAAATTACTTCATTCATAATTCTTGGTGCATTTATTTTCCAGAATCATCACTTTTAATTGTAATAGATTTGTTATTGTTCCTTCATCAAAGATCAAATTTCAATGCCATAATATGAAAGAGACAGACAAAAAATTCTCTATTACTTTCCTTAAATACAATGCATCATGAATCATTTCTGTTTGTGGAACAGTAAAAGTTCAAACACTCAGAGAATATATTGCAAAATCCATAATAAAACGGTAAAGGTGTGCAGTGACATGAGATATTAACATATATAATCTTAACATGACTGAATCTTTAATGAAGGGTTCTCACAAACCACTGTCTATGATATTTATAATATAAAAGAGATCTAACATGCACTGCAATTGATCATGCATAGCTAGAGTTTATTTTAGTTACTTCCTCAACAATATAATGTGATTCTCCATTTAGCCATAATTTCCTTCTAAATCCCTGCATATGAACAACCTCACTTAAAATATTAGGGGAAGGACAGAAAATATGTATTATCTCTAATAAAAATAATAAATTAAACGTGATGGCTTTCTTTAAATTTAGCAAACATTGTGTACTAAATCATTTGGGTAAAATGTTTAAGTTTACAATGGTACAATGGAGACCTTTTTTTTCTTTGGGGACACAGGCTTGCTCTCTTGCCCACGCTGGAGTGCAGTGGTGCGATCTTGGCTCACTGCATCTCCGCCTCCCGGGTTCAAGCAATTCTCCTGCCTCAGCCTCCCAAGTAGCTGGGACTCCAGGCACACACCACTATGCCCGGCTAATTTGGAACCCTTTTAACATAGTTTAATTAAGTTAAATCTCATATCTAAATACTTTGCCATAAGCACACTAATACTTTGTGTTTCCCTAGAGACCAACTTGTGATCCATTACAGTTACTCTAAATGTTTCCCGTTTTTATATATCCCTATATTTACACCTTTGCAGATTATAATATAAATTTTTAATAAATTTGTAGGATAATATTTCTGAATAAAGCACTGTCATATTTCAAAAGCACTGATGCACATCATTGATGTGAGTTCACAGATAACTCTGCCAATATTCCTAATCCCATTTTCTTGTAATTAAAAAAAAATTATTGTAATTTTATTGCCTTCCAATTCTTTGAAAAAAATATTTGTAAATATTTGCAGTGATTCAATGGAACTCTTATATCTGGATTTCAACAGGTATTACTAACTCCAACTCCTCACTTGGGAATAAACTTTCTGCCTGTTGCATCCTAATGATACTACGTACCTTCTCAGGAATATCTCTCTCTATTTCTCTCCCTCTCTTTTTCTCTTATCATCCTCCCTCCATTTTTTCCTCCTTTACTATCCTTTCTGTCTCTTTCTCTCTCATCTAGTCAACTTACTCTTATTACTGGATTCATTCCATCAGTATTAATATGTTCAAACTGTAACTGAAAAACTTTTAAAAGAAAACTCAACACTGATTCTTTCATTAATCACTTTTCCCTCTCCCTTCATGGCTGAAATTTTGGAAAGATTCATCTTTGTTTGCTCAATTTTTATTTTCTCCTCATATCATTCAGTTCTCTGGTTAATCAAGTGTTTTCATTAAACTAGTTCTCATTATTATTAAAACCACCACCAAAATACATAACAGGTATTACTTCCATGCTTATCTCATTTGACTTTATTATTGTTAACTATATATTACGTAATAATAAGTATTATTATGTTTACTTTTTAGGTTTAGGGATACATATGCAGGTTTGTTATACAGGCAAATCGTATGCCACAAGGGTTTGGTGTTCACATTATTTCATCACCCGAGTAATAAGCAGAGTACCCGACAGGTAGTTTTTGTCCCTCGTCACACTCTCCACCTCTCAAGTAGGCCATACAGTCTGTTGTTCCCTTTTCTGTGTTCATATGTTCTCAATGTTTAGCTTCCACTTATACTCAACAACGCAATTGCTAGGTCGAATGTTAATTCTGTCCTAAGTTCTTTGAGTACTTAGGTTCTCACACTGCTTTCCACAATGGCTGAACTAATTTACATCCCCACTAGCAGTTTATAAGCATTCCCTTTTCTCAGCAACTTCCCTAGCAACTGCTATTTCTTTAATTAATAACAGCCATTCTGACTGGTGTGAGATAGTATCTTCATTGTGGTATTAATTTGCATCTCTCTAATGATTATTGATGTTGAGCATTCTTCACATGTTTTTTGGCTGTATGTATGTCTCCTTTTGAAAATATAGTTAAATTATTTAAATGTATGTTTCAAAGAATAGTAAAACTCCAAGAGCTCAACCTTCATGACTTGATAAATGCTTTCATCATCCATTCACTAATCTTTAACACCACCCTTTTTGTAAAATGTGTATATCCAACTCTTAATTAAATTCTATTGGTTTGATCTCACACCTATCATCTTCAAAACCGCATAGCTACATGGAAACTGAACAACCTGCTCCTGAATGACTACTGGGTAAATAACGAAATGAAGGCAGAAATAAAGATGTTCTTTGAAACCAACAAGAACAATGACACAATGTACCAGAATCTCTGGGACACATTTAAAGCAGTGTGTAGAGTGTGTATTGCACTAAATGCCCACAAGAGAAAGCAGGAAAGATCTAAAATCGACACCCTAACATCACATTTAAAAGAACTAGAGAAGCAAGAGCAAACACATTCAAAAGCTAGCAGAAGGCAAGAAATAACTAAGATCAGAGCAGAACTGAAGGAGATAGAGACGCAAAAAACCCTTCAAAAATGCAATGAATCCAGGGGCTGGTTTTTTGAAAAGATCAACAAAATAGCTAGACCGCTTAGCCAGACTAACAAAGAAGAAAAGAGAGAAGAATCAAATAGATGCAATAAAAAATGATAAAGGGGATATCACCACCAATCCCACAGAAACACAAACTGCGATCAGAGAATACTATAAACACCTCTACGCAAATAAACTAGAAAATCTAGAAGAAATGGGTAAGTTCCTGGACACATACACCCTCCCAAGACTAAACCAGGAAGTCGAATCCCTGAATAGACCAATAACAAATTCTGAAATTGAGGCAGCAATTAATAGCCTATCAACCAAAAAAAGTCCAGGACCAGACGGATTCACAACCGATCTCTACCAGAGGTACAAAGAGGAGATGTTACCATTCCTTCTGAAACCATTCCAAACAGTAGAAAAAGAGGGAATCCTCTCTAATTCATTTTATGAGGCCCACATCATCCTAATACCAAAACCTGGCAGAGACACAACAAAAAAAGAAAATTTGATCTGCAGTAGCTTCAATGTTGGTTAACTCAGATTTGAAATTGCTCAATTAAAACACATTTTCTCTGTAAGTCAAATTATTTTTCCACTAGGCAAAAATGTAAATTTTACTCTCAAGCAAAAATCAAAAACCTATTCCACTGTTTCAAATGTGGTAATAAAAAATAATAAAGTTATTTTATATTTATTTATAATATTACTTTATTGATGTCCGTACTGATAGCATAAAACTCATTAAAGGCAGAGCTCAAATAATTTTTGACCCTTTTTTGTCAGAAACTATCAGAAACGAATTAAACATTTGTTGAAATAATAAATCACATTTTCTCCCTATAAATTGAATTAAAATTGTTTCTTTTCCTATCTAATTGTTTCTTTACACAAGTATAACTGTTACATTTGGCTAAGAGAGTGATATAGACCGGTATATATATTATCTACATGTTTCATCTTGCCAAATGAAACAACAGTAAGTATTATATATATATGATTTCTAAATCATATAATCAGTAGTAACTCATTAAGGCTAAGTGATCAATTTGAACTATTTACCATTCATTCATTTTTTAAACATAAATAAGCAAAATAAGCGTAAATTAAATTTATGATTCTGATAGAATGGAGACTATTTTGTGTTTCTCTATGTGGGAAATATTATTGATAGTCCAAAATAGTACAATGTTTCTATTTATTTTACACTTAAAGCATTAACAAAAAAGTTTTAATTAGTAATAAATTATTGACAGCTTTAATAAAATTTCATTAAAATAATCTTATAGTTATTTGAAAATGACTATAAAGCATATGGAAAATATTAGAACTTATACCTGTAATATTAGCTCATCAAATATTTTCCAGAACCCTATGAGGATTATTCAAAGTATTTTCTCAATTTTACTGAAAAAGCCTTTGATAATCTCTAGGTTTTCTTGGTTTTGTTTCAAAGTAATGACAACTACATTTTAAGCAACAATTCTATCCTGCTGTGTAAGCAAACAAACATTTTATGTACTATTATACTATCCTCTCTCTCTCCCCTTTTGGAGGTTATCTGATTCTTTGTATTAAGGTTTACTTAAAATTATATAAAAATAAATGAATAGCAAATTAGAATGTTATGAGTGCAAATGTAGGGCTTGGTAAAAATTCATTCTACATAATTTAAATAAAATTTCAGTAAGTCCATGCCATGCAATACCAATACAATCCCTGAGTAGTGAAATATTCACAAATTCGATTACATATTCTATATGCATATAACCCAGTAAATACATAGATATTCTTTCCTTATGAAAATGTTTAGGAAATTTTTTTGACAATATGTGGTTTATTTAAAATCTAGCATGTCAGTAAAACGTTTCACTGGTTTCTAAAATAACTGATTAATAGCTGATCACGTATAGTTAAGTCATTGTACTTTTTAAAAATCACAAATATTTTTTCTGTGGTAAGGTTTTGGATTAGTTGTTGCTGGCATCTGAGTATTTGCCTTGCCATTTCATTAGTGCCCTTTCAAACATTATAAAAAGAAAACACATAGTGATGTTAGAGTTAATACTAACAAATACTATACAAATGTTGCATTGCAAATCAATTTTAGAAGCACTGCAGGACATGGGACTCCATTCTATTCTAAAATTATTTAAAAGATCATGGATAAGAATGTGAAAGCAAACATGTTGTCAACATGTACAGGTATGAAATGACAGTACTGAATTATTTATATTGGAATTTCTTATTTTTTAATAAAGCAATTCCTTATCTCATCTTCCATGTTTTCCTCTGAAAATCTCTCCTTCTTTCTCTCTCTCTTTCGTGCTCTCTCTCTCTCTCTCTCATTAATTTTGTTATTGCTAGCAAAATACTAGCCACTCTGGCAACACTCCTATTTATACCTAATATAACTATAAATTTCTGCAGTTTCACATTCTGTCTAGCAGATTATGTTACCATTAAAAGAAACAGTAAGAATAGAAACCAGAATCATTGCTAACATGGAAGTCCAAATGAGAAAATAATCATTCAACTGGCAACTAGAGCAATCTGGAAGCAGTGTGCCTTTGAGTTTTACTAGAAATTCATTGTTGTGTTAGGCATACAGACTATAATGCCAAGATTTGATTACACTTAGAAAAATGGTTAATTTCATATACCTATCTATAAATTATTCTAAGCTTCTGCCTACAATAATTAGCCTTAAAAATAATATATTAAATATTAACAGATAAATCTATGTATCTTATGATAATAGGCTACTGACTAAATTATTTTTCAACAATTAATGTTTATATAATTAAATAATTAGAATTTTGTTACTTAAAGAACTTTACATTTAATATTTAATAACAGAAGAAGACTATCTTCATCTTTATTCTCTCTTTCTTCTATATAAAATGTGAGGTAACAAATTGACCCTAATTTTAATCCAGTTTCAGAGAAAATATAATGTTAAATTTGCGGGAAAAATTTCAAAAATGACCGTTAGTAAAAAAAAATGAATATTTCTATATTATGAAATATAACTGAAGCTCAATTATTCTTACAATGTGTAAGTCTCCTCTTACTACATTTACATTTGACTGGCTTATAATTGAAATTTTTTTGTGCCAGAGAGTGGTTAAGTTAATCTTTATGTCTGATCTGTATTTTGAAACTACACATTTCTGATCATAGTATGAAGACCAATTTTAACAACTTACTGCAGGGCTAAGAAAATAAAAGAGCATTTGTAGAAAATTACACAAGAATTAGGTCAATTTTTGCAGTATAAGTGTCAGAACTGAAAAATATTATAATTAATGTAGTATTCTCCATTGATATGACCTTTAGAAAGCAATTTTTTAAGTGTTTAAAATAAATAATGGGTCTTTCTCCTTCTCACCTATTTTATTGTGGTGCTTTTGCTGAATAACAAATCAATTTGTATTGTAAGGACCACTTAAGACTGTACGGAGTATGCATTTTATTCATTTCTATTTGAGCTGCCCATCAATTACACTAGGTATTCTCTTAGCTGAGGTGTAGTTGCTTTATTAAAGTTAGAATGAATAAATGTAGTAGAAAAATAGAAATAAAGTATGTGTAATTATTGTATGTCAGTAAAATATGGAATGATGAAAGAACAGTCTTTGGTGCCTAAACAGCTAATAATTTGTATCTAAGTAATAACATATAGGAAGCTGTTAAATTTAAAAATTAACCACTTAGTTACATACACAATAACATTATGATTGATACTTTTCCATTTTATAAATGGAAAAGGCATATTTCTTGTAACTTAAATAATGGAGAAGGGAAATTTTTTACAATGAGAATGAAATTTCATATGAATAACAAATTTTTCCAACCAAAGATATGTTTAATTTACAATCCCTACAACTGGTAAACATAATCTTATTGGAAAATATGGTATCTGCAAATCCAATCGAGTTAAGACAAGGACATTAGGGTGTGCCCAAATCCAATATGACCTGTGTTCTTATAAGAAAAATTCTATCTGAAGACAAAGAAACACAAAGTGAACTTTTTGTGAAAACAGAAGCAGAGACTGGAGTAAGGATTCCAAAAGCCAAAAACCCCAGATTGCCAGCCATTACCAGAAGATAGGAGAAAGGCATTAAGGCATTTTTGTTAGTCTGTTCTCACACTGCTATAAAGAACTGCCCAAGACTGGGTAATTTATAAAGAAAAGAAGTTTAACTGACTCACAGTTCCATATGGCTGAAGAAGCCTTAGGAAACTTAAAATCAGGGCGGAAGGGGAAGCGGCACATCTCATATGGTGGCAGGCAAGGGAGAGCAACAGCAGGAAAAATTACCTTATAAAAGTATCAGATCTTGTGAGAACTCACTCACTATCATGAGAACAGCATGAGGAAAACTGGCCCCATGACCCAATCACCTCCCACTGAGTCCTTCCCTTGGCACATGGAGATTATAGGGGTTACAATTCAAGATGAGATTTGGGTGGCGACATATCCCAATCATATCAGCATTGAACAGACACTTCTGAAAAAGTCAACACTACCTAAGGACTTCTAGCCTCCAGAACTGTGAGGGAATACATTTCTGTTGTTTTAAGCTGCACATTTTGAAATAGCTTTTTATGACTGCCCTAGGAAACTAGTATTACCTATAGGTTCTAGATATTCAAGGCTCTGGCCATTTTATCCTGCCTTCTGCATTGAATTGTCCTTATATAAACTACGTTTTCCTGAATAATACATGAAACGTGACATTAACATTTCAGGTGTAATTTCGACTGAGATTTTACTAGACTCTAGACCATAACAAATGTGAACATTCCAATATAGACCGGACTCTACCATTTCCCTGTTCTGCTTTATACCATCATTTCTAATTGTTCTTTCTAGCATAATTTTGACCTGCAGGCAAGGTCATTATGAGAAAACTCCATGCAAGCCTTGTTTGTATTCTCCGTGTACACATATTAAAAGGCTTCTACTTTCCCTTCTACATCCTCACATACATCCCTTGAGGCTGCAGAAGACAAGTTTTGTGAAGTGATTGCCTTAACTGCCCACCTTTAATGTCTTTACAGAAGAAACCTAAAAGGCTTGTCCAAGTCTTTAGATTTTTATAAATCTAGTTCTTGCCTTGCAATTGTTAGGTATCCTGATCAAAATCAATCTTCCAAGCCCCACATCAATTGTTTTAATTAGCATCAGAATTCATCTCTTCTTTAAATCATGAATTTCTAGAAGTCAATGACTCTCAGTTATTGGTTTTACAAATCTCAAGGTGGTTTTCACTTGGTAAATATTCAGTGTTCCTTCGATTGAATGACAGGCTCCTCTATCATTACTTCCTGTTTCTGACTCCAAATGATTGATTAATCTTAATTTATAATGCTTATTTCCTTATTTAATTTGTTAACCCTTACATTTATTAATGCATGTTAAACAGTGAATATAATACAAATATTTATTAAAAGATGTGAATTTTAGAGTAAACACTTATGTATCCAGCATAGCCGTTGTGACGAAGAACAGGTGGGCTGTGGTTGCTCACACCAGCACTTTAGGACGTCAGGGAGAGAGAGTCACTTGAGGCCAAGAGTTTCCTACCAGGCTGGGCAACATAATGAGACCGTGTACCTACAAAAAATAAAAATAAAAATAAAAAAAGTAGCTAGGCATGGTGGCATGGCCTGTGGTCCCAGCTACTTGTGGGGCTGAGGTGAAGGACCACGAGCCCAGAAGTTCAAGGCTACAGTGAACTGTGGGTGACAAAATGAGACTTTGTCTCTAAATGAATATATAAAGGTTCCTTGGGAAAAAAGTTAAAAAGAATAATACTACCTCGGGAGATTGCTTGTTTGTCCTTACTTTGTCTCAACTCAGTTTTTCCTACTAGAGGAAATCATACTTTCCATGTTATGTCTGCCATTCTCCAGCTTCCCGTAGTTTTCTAAGTACGTACCTGTGTCCCTGAACAAATACTTATCTGTGTCTGGATGTTTTTAAACTTTATATTAATATTCCATGGCAACCTTAGCAAAATAGCTGGAAAAGCTTCCTGTTTTCTTAAACTTTCCTTAGTCTCTTTATCTATAGGTACTATTGCTTGAAGAACTCCAGATGGTCCAGTGATCCTTTGCCAAACACAGAAGGAAGATGAGACCTGCACCAGATGGGTGCAAACCAGAACCGGCTACCCTAGTTACCTTTAGATTGTTCACATATCATTATAGTGTTAGAATCCCCTCCCCAAAGGAAAATTGCTGCCTTGCGATCTATGAAGTACGTTTGGGGACTGCACCTGCGTGTTTGTAACTCCATTTTGTGCATGCTTACACACCTCCCTCAACTCACGTCTAGTTCTTTAAAATCCCCTTGCTTCCAATCACTGAGGGAGAAGGTATCTTTAGAGTGAGACCTCCCTTTTCCTGTTCCCTGGCCAGTGAATAAAACCTGATTGCTTTAATTGCGTGTTCTTTCTTTGAGACCAATATAATGTAGACAGAGAACTCAGTTTACTGGCGACATTAATACTAGAGACTACAAGAATACACTGTGTGTATTCTTTTGCAACTTGCTTATTCGACTTAACATTGTGCTCCTGAAATTCACCTATGTTTTTTGTAAATAACTGTAATGTATTCTTTTTTCATTTTTAAATATTTCACATTGACAGATAACATGATATGTATGTATCATGTAAACAGGATGTTTTAATGTATATATAAATACATTGTGGAATGCTTACATCTAATTAACTAACAAATACATTACCACACATAGTTATTATTGCAGTGAGAGCACTTAACATCTACTCTCTTTGCATTGTCAAGAATACAATATGTTCTTAATTATTACAAAAGATTTGTATAAAATTTGTCAAACATTAGAATTATTCTCAACTTTAAAAGGTAGTATAACAAATAATATCATGAAACTTTTTATAGATGCCTCCTGGAGCACAGGTGCAAGAGATTCTCAGGGATATACACCTAGAAATAGAATTGTTACATAATATGGTATGAGTAGTTTCATTCCTGTTAGGACAAGCAAAATTGCTTTCTAAAGCAGTTGTATCAATGTGCACTCCCATCAAAGTATACAAGTGTTCCAGTTACTTCATATCATCACCAACACTAATATTTCAGGCTTAATATTTTACTAATCTGGTCAGTATAAGTTAATTTATCACTGTGGGCTCAATTTTAATTCCACTGATTATTTAAAAGTTTAACATCCTCATATATTTAATGGTTATTAAAGTTTTATTTACTAGGAATTGTGTCTTTTGCCCATGTTATTGGGTAATTTTTAAAGCATTGTAGATGGCTCCTATATATTCTAAATTTATAAGTTATGTTAGTTTAAACATCTTCTTTCAGTTCATGATTTGTCTTCATACTTGTTATAATTTATTTTAATGAATAGGTATTCTTATTTTGATACAGTCGCATGTGTCGGTCTTTACCTATGGTAATCATGCCTCTGATTTGAGAAATCCTTTACTAGCTTTATGTTTTAAAATATTTGCTTATAAGTTCTGTAAACTTTATAGGTTTTCCTTTCATATTTAAATTTTCAATTCATCAGATCTTTGTTCATGCTGTGAGGTAGATACCCAGTTTCATTTTTTGGCATAAGTGTAGTTAATTATCTCAGCATGTATTGTTGTAAAGTTATTTCTTTCTGCAATGACTGACAATACCATTTGTGCTATAAGTCAGGTTTTCTTAACAGTGATATTTGTTTCTTGTCCTTCTGCTTAATTGTTCAATATATCTAGTCTCTGGTAATATTACACATTTTAAAATCTTAGATGAATAATTAATTATTGTTGTAGTATAATACAGGTACTCTGTTATGGACAGCATGCTTGTGTTTCCCCAACATTTATATGCTGAAATTCTAATCCCCAACATGATGGTATTTGGGGATAGGGCCTATGGGAGGTAATTAGGTTAGGAGGGTGGAAGCTTTGTGATGAGATTAGCGACCTTATATCAAAAGAAACAAAAGAGCTTGCTTCCTCTCACTCTCCACCAAGACAGAATACCGCAAGATGTGCGTCTGCAAATCAGGAAGAGGACCCTCAACAGGAACTGAATCAGCCAGCACCTTGATCCTGAACTTCCTGCCTTTAGGACTGAAATTTCTCTTGTGTTTTTGGGACTTGTTACAGCAGACTGCGCTGACTAAAACACCACCACTTCCTGTTATTTTTGCATTATGATTGTCTTGCTATTTCTTGATTATTAATGTTTTATATAAAGTTTAGAATTCCTTGAAAGACTGTTGTGGGACTTTGGAATCATATTTAACCCATATATCTATTTGGAGAGAGTTATAATCTTTGCTGTATTTAATCTTTCCACGTAAGAATATGTTATATATCTAAATTTGTTATTAAAGTCTTTCAAAAATTTAACAGTTTTCTCCCTATACTACTGGCACACATTCTTCTAGATTGATCGTTTATTTTTCATATTATTTTAAATATTAAAATAACTATTTACATTATATTAATTGGTGTACTTTAATATAATTTCTTATTTGTTGGTGGTATGTAGAAATGTACCCAATTTTTGTATATTAATTTTGCACTGGGCAAACATTCAAAATTCTATAGTTCTTTGTGATTGTAGCCATAGATTCATTTGATTTTACTAGAGAATAGTATTATCTGCATTGCTTGAGAATTTTTCCTTCTTTCTGGAACTTTTCATTATAACTATTTGATTTTTAAAATCTATGTGAACTACACTATTTACCACAATAATGGATAAAAGTGATGAGCATGAGGACCATTAAAATTGCGTATAATGCACACTCTTAAAAATAATGCTTTCGGCCAGGCGCGGTGGCTCACGCCTGTAATCCCAGCACTTTGGGAGGCCGAGGTGGGCGGATCAAGAGGTCAGCATATCAATACCATCCTGGCTAACACGGTGAAACCCCGTCTCTACTAAAAAACACAAAAAATTAGCCAGGCGTGATGGCGGGCGCCTATAGTCTCAGCTACTTGGGAGGCTGACGCAGAATGGCGTGAACCAGGGAGGCAGAGCTTGCAGTGAGCTGCGATTGCGCCATTGCTCTCCAGCCTGGGCAAGAAGGCAAGCCTCTGTCTCAAAAAATAAAAAATAAAAACATAAAAAAATAAATAAAATAATGCTTTCAATGTAATATAGTTTGGGTATGTGTCCCTTCTTAAACTCATGTTGAGATGTAATCCTCAGTGATGGAAGTGGGGTCCAGTGGAAGGTGTTTGGTTCATGGAAACAGATCCTTATTGGGCAACTTAACACCATCCCAATGGTAGAGTGTTTTTCTCGCTGGGAGTTCACACAAGAAGGACCAGTTAAAAGTTTGTGGTACCTTCTCCACTCCTTCCTGCTGATCTTGCCACGTGAGACACCTGCTCCTCCTTTGCCTTCTGCCATGATTGTAAGCTTCCCGAGGCCCTCACTGGAATCTGATGCCAGTGCTATGCTTCTTGTACAGCCTGCAGAACCATGAGCCAGTTAAACATCTTTTCTTATAAATTACCCAGCCTCAGTATTTCTTTATAGCAATGCAAGAATGGCCTAACACACAATGTTTCATCATGAATTATAAAATTTTGAAAGAGATTTTTGTAGATAACCATTTATCAAGTTAAGAATGTTCACTTTTATTTCTAATTATTTTTGGTTTTAAATTTTTAATAACCACAAATGTTGAGTTTTTATTGTATTTTTCTTCATCTATTGAGATGATATTATTTTTCTTCAATTCTCAATATGATACACTATCTCATTTCTTTCATGTTAAATCAACAACATATTGTGAATAAATATAATTTCTTCCTAATATACTTTTACTTAAGAGTCACTAGATTTTGCATGTTAAATTGTCTTTAAAATTCTGTGTTTATTTTAATAAGTGAGGTCACCTGTAATCATTTTACGTACTGTCCTTGTATGTTTTGATATATAGGATATGTTAATCCTAAAAAAATAGTGGTAATTGTTCCCTATTTTCTATAATCTGAATTTCAATATAGAAAATGACATTACTTATTTCTTGAGTACATATACTTGTTGGTAAAAATAATTTCTGAGCTAAGTGTTTCCATCTTGGAAGACAACCAATATTTTTTAAGCTATAAAATATATAAGATTTTTTTTTTTTTTTGAGACGGAGTCTCGCTCTGTTGCCCAGGCTAGGGTGCATTGGTGTAATCTCGGCTCACTGTAACCTCCGCCTCCCAGGTTCAAGCAATTCTCCTGCTCAGCCTCCTGAGTAGCTGAGATTACAGGCACCTGCCACCACGCCTGGCTATTTTTTGTATTTTTAGTAGAAACGGGGTTTCACCATATTGGTCAGGCTGGTCTCGAACCCCTGAGCTCGTGATCCACCTGCCTCGGCCTCCCAAAGTGCTGGGATTACAGGCGTCATAAAAATAAATTTTTAATTTATTTTGTAGTCAGCTTTTCAAGTTAATACTGAATTTGAAATTCATTTGTTTGCCTTATCTTTTCAAAATAATTATCATTTTTAAAAATTAAACATTAATTATGTGTGAAAACACAGGTACCTACATTATGTCCTCTTTTTCCATGCCTATCATTGTATATATTTGCTTTGTCTCTTTTTTCCTGAAGAATAACGCTTTGCTTGTTTTATGTCTTTCCAAATCACCATCTTCTAAGTCATATTTTGTATTTCTATTAGTTGTTCATTTTTTTTAAAGATGGGATCTCACTATGTAGCCCAGGCAAGAGTGCAGTGGCTATTCACAGGTGTGATCATAGTGCACTCCACCCCAAACTCCTGACCTCAAACAATCCTCCTGCATTAGCCTCCTGAGTAGCTGGGACTCCAGGTGCATACCACGATGCCCAAATCATTATTTTTTATTTCCTTAAATATGTTCATTTATATTTGTATATTTGCACTTTCATCTGTATTTATTCTTTTCTCCTGAAGTTTGGTATTTAGGTCATATTTTCCAGATTCTTTCATTTTATTATAAATATGAACATAAGATCTCATGTATATTCTGCATTAGTTATACATATTAATTTAGTTATTTATAATTTAGTTATTTATAGTTTATAATTTAGTTATTTATAATTTTCATCATTTTCTACTTATTTTATAATTTTTTCAAATTATTTTATAATTTTTATTTAAAATTTGTCTATCTCAAATGGCATTATCAAAGTAATTATTAATATAGGGTTTTCTATTATCTTGCTTTATTATTTATTTATTTATTATTTATTTATTTATTATTTGTTTATTACTTATTTTATAATTATTTATTTTATAATTTTTACTTAAAATTTGTCTATCTCAAATGGCATTATCAAAGTAATTATTAATATAGGGTTTTTTATTATCTTGCTTTATTATTTATTTAATTGTATCTGTGATCCTAGACAGTTGTGATTTATTGTATCAATTTTTTGAAATTTAATACTTAATTTTTTATCCTTTTTGTACCTTAATCAATATATATTCCTGTTAGTTTTCATATGATAAACTTGTTCATTAAATGAACCTTGTTAAAATCATATACAGCCTAATTATTTTTGTCTTCTTTAATTACTGATGTGTCTATTTTTTCTTTTAATATGTCAGTGTTTGCGGTCTAGATATGTAGATGAGAGGCATATATGGATGAATGTATACATAGATAAGTAGGTATATAGATCTTTGCTCATTTTACTTTCACCTTTCTGTTGGCTGTTTTAGATGTTTCTTTTGAACAGCATATATGTAGATAGTTCTGGAAGAGTCCATTTTTGATAAACTTTATGTTTCTTAACTCAATTATTTTGTCTAATTATATTTATTGTAATTATTAATCTATATACAGTTATTTTTAATTGTATGGGTTGTCCTTAAAATTTTCTCAAATATGACAGAACTTTCACAACTTGGGAATAATCTTGTAAACAGTGAATAGTTATTTTGCTCCAAAAAAGAGCAAAAATTTGGGTTTATATAAGAAGTATTGGGAAATATCCTGTACCATTCTCACCTGTTTGATTACACTTGTAAAAGCTTAGAGGTTAAAACTAGTTAAAAGCAAGTCATTGAGTCTTTGATTCAACAACAATAAAACATTCTCAACTTTTCTACATTTTTGACGTTTTCTGCCTTTGTGATTATTTGTTCTCATGCAATTTTCTCCTCAATTTAGTCAAAATTAACTGTTATATTTCTTTTTAGTTTTTTCTTAAAAGTTTTAATTCTCACTTATTTAAGTCAGTTGATATTATTACCTTTATCACAAATAGTATTTAGAATACCTTATATTTTATCATACTTTTCTCAAATTTTTCCAAATCATCACCCATTATTGCAATTTAATATTTTCAATTCCTACAAGGAATATTAATATTGGCTTATTCAAGCAATGTTTATTTTCATTACTGACATGCACATTATATTCTTTGCTTTTTGTTCTTCATTGTATAATCATGAATATACTTCTAAATTCTTTTCATTCTGATATAATTATATCCTAAGAAATTTCAGAAGATGTGAGTCCATTTCTGGCAGTCGCATATGCTGTTTTCTTAACATCTGTTTTTTCACTTCATAAATTTTATTTTCAGTGGAATTTACAATTTTTTTCTCTTAGTAGTTTGTGATATTATTTCAAAATTTTCAGGTTTCAATTGTTACCAGTAGAAATCAACTATAAGTCTAATTGCAAATGTGTTGAGGGCAATGTTTCTTATTCTCTGCCATTTTTAAGAGATTCTATTTGGCTCTCGTGTCCTACAGCTTTACTGCAATGTGCTAGGAGCAGGCGTCTTTTATTTATCTCATTTGGGAGTCCTTGAGCTTCTGTGAACTGTTTTCTTTTACCAATTTTGAAATTTTGTGGTAATTATCTATTCATATATGTCTGTGTTCATTCTATCTACTTATTCCCAAAATTCTGATTAAAGATATTTTACATTTTTCTTTGCATAAACTTGTAGCTTAATCATACTTTGGTATATTTTACTGCATTTCTTCTTAAATCACATTCTCAATAATTACTTATGTTTCATATTCAGGAGTAACTTTCCTGTTGTGTCTTATCTCCACTAACACATCCACTGAATTTTAAATTGATGTTACTTAGTGCTGATTTATATATGTTCAATTAGGTTATTTTCCTTTTTGAATTTACTATGTTAATGCCAGTTTTTTTATAATTTAATTTTTTATTGATACATAAAAGATGTGCTTATTTTCAAGGTACATGTGATAATTTAATGCATTCATACAATGTGTAAAGATCAAATCAGTGTAATAGGAATATCCATCACCTTAAATGTATCTTTTTTATGCTAGAATCATCCAAATTATTCTTTTCTTGCTATTTTGAAGCATACAAAAGATTATAGTTCATTATAATCACATTACTGATCTATCAAATGGTAAATCTTTCTTTTAACAAACTATACATTTGTACACATTAAACAACTTCTCTTCATTCCTCCCTCCTTGCTACTCTTTCCAGCCTTTAGTAACCACCAATCTATCCTCATCTTCATGAGATCCAATTTTTTAGCTCTCACATGTGAAAACAGGCAATATTTGTCTTTCTGTGCTTGGCTTATTTCAATTAACATAATGACCTTCACTTCCATTCATGTTACTGCAAATGACAGGATTTTATTTTTTATGGCTGAATAATATTCCATTATGTCTATATACACCACATTTTTTTTCCTATTCATCTGTTGACAGGCACTTAGATAGATTCCATATTTTGGCTATTGTTAATAGTGCTGAAATAAACATGTGAGTACACATCTCTTTTATACACTGATTTCCTTTCTTTTGGATATGCACCCAGTAGTGGAATTGCTGGATGGCATCTTAGTTCTATTTTTACTTATTTGAGAAAACTCCATACAGTTTTCCAGCTGTATTAATTTACTTTCCCATCAGTACAGTAAAAGAGTTTTTCTTTCTCTATATCCTCACAAGCATCTGTTTTCCCTGTCTTTTTTATAAAAGACATTTTGACTGAGATGAGATGATACCTCATACCTCATAGTGGTTTTGATTTGCACTTCTCTGATGATTAGTGATGTTTAACATTTTTTCATGTACTTGTTAGTCATTCATATGTCATTGTTTAATAAATGTCTATTCATGTCTTTTGCCTATTTTAAGTTGGATTCTTTTGTTTCTTTGCTATTGAGTTGTTTGAACTCTTCATATGTTCTGATTCCAATCTCTGGTCAAATGGATAGTCAACTTAGCCACCTTTACTGGATTCTTGCTTTTACCTCATTGATCTTTCATTTCTCATTATCATTAAATGTACTTAATTTTATAAACTTATATCTTCAGAGCTTTATTATTTCTTCTTTTTGTTTATGCTAGCTCACATTAATGGTGTTGAGGGTTAATTGTTTCACTATGGACTCATTTTTTAAAAATATTTTTGTGATAATTCTTGAGGTTGGGTTTCGTGGTAATAAAAAAATAAAGTTCAATGTACTTAGCAGATGTCCAACAGTGAAAGTTGGCTTTATTGTCCCTGTTTCTTTCAACTGGTAGTTGATTTTAAGCTTTCACTTCCAATCAGTATTTGAGTTTCTCAAAAGCTCAGATCATACATATTTTTAAAAATATATGTGCTAATATATCAGAAATAGCTGGTTGTAGTCGGTGGAATGTTTGGTCAGATTGCCAGGATGTCATACTATCAGATGAAAATTTTCACACTCCATTTTTTTAAACATAGTTACAACCATTTTTAAATTAATACTCTAATAGAAGAAAAGGTTACATTTTTGTTCCTTTCCAGTGATCATAAAATGAATATTTCCTTTTTATACTTTCAGTTATATTTTATATAATTATTTTACATATTTTATATTTTATAAATATATATATTTCTTAATTATATGAATATGTGCTTTACAGCATATTTTACCTTAGTAGTGCTTTAGTTTTTATTTGAAAAATCTTCACTGTAATATATACACATATTTTGTACACACACACACACACACACACACACAGACGTATATCTTAAATGTTCAAACTGGAAGCTCGTTTGAATTACAGTGTATCATTTACTTCTGTCAATATTACATCTGATCCAGACAGTAGAGTTACTGGACATGCCGAGTGTCCAGCTAAGTGTGAACCATTTGAAATTCATTCAGTAGAAGATGGAAGAGATAACTGTTGAGCAGAAAAAAAGTTTTGATAATTTATAAAGAATTTTATTTAGATGGCCATGAAAAACACAAGTTATGCTGTACTGTGATTAACCTGACACTTTTGGCATTAGATTAAAAAGAATTTTCCACTCAAAAGATCAATGATATGCTTCTCCTTTTTCCTTTATTAAGAAAAAAAATCCCTAAGTTTTTTGGCTTAGAGTTTGTAGATTAATTACATGCATGATGCTTTGGCTTCATTTCTGTGAATTTTAATGGACCTATTACATATTTTCTACAAAATATAAATACAGTAGATAAGAAAACACTAGACACAAGAGAAAATTGCTTTCATGGTTCAGATCCATTTTTTTGTATAGGCATAAATCACACTTTGAGGAAATGAAAGCACTATACTATTCTTGTATTTTGTTTAAAATATACAATTTTAAATTTATTTTCATAATTATGCTGACCTATTACTGTAACAATTTTTACAAAGTTTCCTCAATTATTAAGAAGACAAACATACCTTGGGCATACTCACAGAATTGTTCAACGTCATATTTGTATATATGCAGGAAATGACTTGAAGACCTAAAAAAAGCCTTTATATTTTTTACATTTTAAAGCATTTAAGTGTTTGGAGTGTAGGCCTCCACATATAAAAATAATTAGAAATATCAACTAAAACAAAATCTAGACATATTAATATTTTGTTTAAAAGTTTGCATTTCTGCATTTACATAAATTTAATTTCAATAAACTTCAGCTTGTTTGTGTTTGGGGATTATTTAATGTGAGAAACTTTTCCAAGTATAAATTTTAAAGAATCATAACATCAAAACAAAAGAAAAGCCAAAAAAAAACAAAGAAGAATATTTAATCCAAGAAAATACTTTAAAAATCTAGTGCAATATACTAATTTAACATAATGGAAAAGAAGATGATGTTGATAGGTCAAATGGAGCATCTAACCTAGCAGGTCAGTGGGAGAGATGGTACTAGATTCCTTTTGAATTACTGATGGAAGGGCGCAGCTTTAAATATTAGCTTTACCCTCAGTAGATGCTAGAAGATTCAGTACATTTGTAAAGTTGTTAAAAGTTTTCCTTCAAGACAAATAAATTAGGAAATTGTCACTTCTAGGCAAACTAGAAGTAGGTTCTTTGTCAGTTAAGGTCTATGTAAAAAAATCAACATAATCCAAATTAGAGTAATTAAAGAAAATCATAATACAAAAGTTACACATCACAAGGATCTTTGGTATAACCTGGCTTTGACTTCTTAAAAAATTAATTGATACTGTACATATTTAAGGTTTATTTTGTCTTCTATGAAAAGGGAAAGGTAAGGAAGCAGTGGTGGAAAGCTGTATGATAGAGTACTGTAGTGCTTGACAGGTAGAAAACAGCCAGTCTGTAGGGGAAGACTGGGAAATAAATATCCTAAAAATATTTTTCTTCCTGCTTTTAATCCCTTCTTTTTTGCTTCTTGTTGACCAAACACAATTAGCTGCCAAAAGCAAAATCCTCAGTCAGAAAACAGGGTAGGAAAAGATGGCAAGTAAATACGGAGGAGCAGAGATTTCTAGTACAGGTTCTTTTCCTCCTGGCTGTTAGTGCTCAACCAAGTTAGAGAATTTGGCAAGCAACGCATGGGTGACTTTCAGCCTGACTTCTACTTCCTTGGTGGGCATTCTTATACATGGTACACTTATCTGTTTCATCACTTACTAACATTGTAAAATTGAGCAAATTACTCCTACATCCAAAATAAACGTAAAGATATTTTTCCTCATGGGTGTGTTGTGAAGACAATGTAATTAACTATTTGAAAGGAAATTACAAATCTACAGAAATATGAAAATACATTACAATTTTTATTATTGAAAAAAGCAAGCCATTTTTCAGATAGTTGTTATATAAAAAGCTCAGAGATTGATTAATCACTCTCTAATATGAATTTTCCATAAGAGTTTTATTGCTAATTTTTAGTCAGATATTCTCACGACCTATCTCCCCTATCATGTTGACACTCAGCTGTCTAAAGTTACTCCAGTTGTTTCTCTGTCCTGAAATCTTTTAACCATTCTTTCACCTATGTTCCTAGTACTTGCAAAAAACTAGGCCTATCTCTTATTTTTCTTGTCTAGTCTCTTCATGTCTTTATTATTATACTTTGAGTTTGTATCACATGATTAATATATTAATATTGGCCATGTAATATTCTATATTAATAGATTTCTGCATATTTGAAATTTTTTCTAATTGCCATTAGTAATGACAGAAGATGAATTGCCACAGAGAGTGAACTCAAGGTTTTATGAATTAAATAATTGTGTATCTTTACAATACAAAATTTAGACACAAGTAACCTCCACAACCTTAGCATGGAACATTTTACTAAAGCTTGTTCATGTGTACCTGAATATTTATTTCAAAAGGCAAATTTATAGAAAATTATTACTAAGCCACCAAATAACTTTTGACTATTAGCTCTTATTTTTTCAGTGTAATTTAATGAATGGATTTAAACCCAGAGTAAATGATCATGGCTGACACTTGCAAATGAGTTAAAATATCTGGTCATGTTATCAGTAACTGTTGTGGAGTAATTTGAAACGACTTGATAGATAGTTATATTTACTTTCACTGTCAATTCCATAAACCAAGTTTTCTTTTGGTAGACTAGACTAGAATATCTATTTAAATGGCCATTTTTTTTCATTAAGCAGTTTGGTTACTTTTATAATTTACCCTAAGTCTTAGTCCATTGGTCTGCTGTAACAAAAATACTGTAAATGCAGTAATTTAAACAATAAGAAAACATTTATTTTTCACAATTTTGGAGGCTGGGAAATTCAAGACCAAGGCATTGGCAGACCTGGTGTCAGATGAGGGCGTATTACTCTGCATTCTCACATGATGGGAGGAGCCAAAGAGCCCCTTTTTGCTTCTTTCATAAAGGCACTAACCCATTCATAGGGACTCCACCTTCATGATCTATTAGCTCTTATCTTTCCAGTAAAATTTAATGGATGGATATAATCTCTGAGTAAATGCCCACAATCTAATAATCTCCCAAAGGCTCCAACTCAACAGTATCACATTGAGGAGTAGGTTTATAAATTTTGGTAGACACAAACATTCAGACCATAGCAGCCTGTATATGTATATAACAGCATAAAGATAATTTGACTTCTAAATTTTCCATTTTAATATACTGATTTTTTTTAAAAAGGTAGTAAGAATAAAGTAACATCCATAAACTGATACTAACTTATTTGTTCAGTTTCAGACAGCTTATCTGTAATATAATGATGTTTTCTTAATCATTCAGATATTTCTTGAGTTAAGAAAATCTTTTAAATACAACAAACAACTTCATTTTTCTGTGAATAAAGCTTTATAATAAACTCTGACATCTACAAAAGATATGTTGACACACATCACCACATATACAAATACTATAAACCTGTTTGAGTATTATTTTATAGAAAAGACACTAAAGACTGTAAGTGGTTTGTCCATTCATACACTGAATAAGCGGCAGATTCAAGTTCACTAGGTTTCTGCCAATAAAACTAGTGACTAATCATTGTTTAAAATTTTTTCTCAACTTAGAAATACAATCCATTACCATTAGCTGTTTTAATCGTTTGCTTTCAGAAACTAAGATAATTATTTTGCAAAAACCACAACAAAGTTAACACTTAATTCTACTGTGAAAATGAGATAAAATTAATAATTTCATTGTCTCCCTACAAAATCAAAATATGCGCACAATTTTAAATGTAGATTTTAATTCTAATATTTGACTCATTTATATGTGCAATGCAAGATTTCTCTAACATAATAGGAACAGAAGGCAAATAACAATGGTAAATTCTACTTTCCCCATAAAGCCTTCTGTTACATCTTTAGATCTCGTCTAGTGCCATGTTGAGACAGCCAGGTGGAAGGTGGTCCCTGGAAAAATTCCAACTGGCCTACTCCCTGGGATGGGACCTTGGGATATTCGAGCTATTTGCTCAAACCTGAGATTCATGCAGCTGGTGGAGAGTGTTCTAGCAGGGACTCTGGCCTAGGGAGAGTTCCTGTTTCCCCCTTTTCTTCCTTTTTCACCCAGTAAAACCCTGTCTTATTCACCATTCAAATTGTCTATGAGCCTGGATTTTCATGGCCATGGGACAAAGAACTCCATCTTTAGCTGAACTGAGGAAAAATCCTGCAACATTTCTAGTGCCCAACGTGGGGGCTTGAGAAGCGGTGAGCGAAATGGGGACTCAAAACCTCTCACTGTTGCTTCTAAGCCTTTTCATCCTTGGACTTCTGAGGGTGCAAAAAGCCACGCCCCCACATCCCGTGGCTCCCGGACCTTTTCATGGCCTTTTCTTTCCTTTTTTGGTATAAGCAGGGGGAAGCTTCCCCTTTCCTCCCCTTTCCCTGCTGGGGCTAGGACGCATGGCCTAAGGGTTCTGCATAGCCGGCTGACTCGTTCCCACCCATGGGTCACTGCACCCATTACCTTCCCCGCCAAGGGATTCAACTCCATCTGACAGTGATTAGCTTTCCACCTGGTGGAGGAACCACTTCCCTAAGAATAAGAGGTTATTCCCCAGGCATTTTTAAACTGTTTCTTTTCCTCCCCTTTTTCTACCTTGTCAGCAAGTTAACTTTAAAAGTTTTTGTTTGTTTGTTTGTTTGCTTTTTCTTTTGGAAGGTGTGCTACTGGGCCAGCTCCCCCAACTATCACTGTTGGTATTCTCTGCAAAGTTTTGGTTGTGAAATCGAGCATCCATTTTGTTTTACATCCTGAGGGCATGGCTTGTAACTCCAGTGGCAATGCTTTGTTTAGCAATCCTGCCTTAGAGGATGAGCCCTCTCTGGTGTGACATTTGCATGTTTTCCTACCCTTGTCTCTTAAAGTACCCACCCAGTGAATGGGTTTTCTTCTGCCTGTCTCTGTGTGCACTGTATGTGATGTCTGCAAAAAGAGCTCTAATTAATTTGGCCTAAAGAAAGACACGCACTTGAAGCTAATATTTTTTAAAGGGAAGATAAAAGCTGTGGTACTTTCCGTTCTTGGTGTACTTTGTGCAAATAATCAGGCCAAGTATAAAGTCAGTTCATGTTGACTTTAATCTTTGAGAAATAAAAACATCTCTAAAGACTACTGGTAAAATGCAGGTCAGATGCAAGATTTGCTAATTGTTTTAAGGTTACAAACTGTTTTTTGAGTTTTGAGAACTGTCTGTCTTTCCTGCTTAACAATTGGTAAGGCCTGGGGATATATGGAACTAACCACGCCCTTAATTATGCTGGAGTCAAACCTTGATTGAACTTAGCACATAATTGAAGTAACCTACCAGGTTTTACCTTAGTTAAAAATTACTAGGAGTTACCATTATAACATGTAGCTGAGACTACTAAAAACAGATTTACATGCAAGGTGTGTAAAAACAGTAAAATGTGTTGTTTAGCAAAAGGTTATAAGAAGGAATGGAAATACAAATTTTTGCCTAGGGTTAAAGGATCGTTTTGAGTTAGGAAAAGCTGAAGGTTCAAACAAGTGGTGGAAGAACTGTGGAAATTAATCTTGTAGAAGAGGTTGTCTGTGTGAACATATTACTAAATTCAAAAAGGTTATAAAATATTTTTGCTTCTTTAAAGTTTCTGAGTCATCATTTTGAGAAAATAAATAGTTAATGGTAATCTGGAATTCTATTTCATAACATTAAGTGTTTGAAACCTTGAAAATTTAACAGCCCTTCCCAAATCAAACTTCAGTTTCAAATTTTGTCTTTCCTGACACCTGGCTTTTCAGATGTTTCAGAGGGACCCTGAGACATCCAGAAAAGAGAGGAAAACAGGATTATTTGACCTGTTTAGGTACATGGGATTGCCAAAATGATGTCCAATCTTCTTTAAGTTATATCTTGGTAAATAATGCTAATATATCTTTCAAAATTGTATGGGATTTCTATGATTCTAATGTCTAAGTATATGCTATCAATCATAATTAAGGTTGTTAAGTTAAGCTATTGTAAACCACAGAGATAACCAAACATCTTTGCCAATCGTGTTTCTAACTGTAACTACCCTGGACGTTTTGCTATTCACAGACAATTGTTGTCTCATTTTAATCCTTCCAAAAGATGGTTAATAATAAGCTATAGAACTGACAGGTGCTCCCAAATACAGGCTTTTGATAATTTTGGAGATTGTAACATTGGAATAAAGGAAAATGTACATAACTCATGAAGATCTGAAATGCTCATGAATATCAAGCAAAACAAGAATTAACTAAACGGACCGAACTCAGAAGCTGAAGCAAATTTTTTTACTTTTCCATGGAATATTGTTGATTTTTGTTTTATCTTTCAGAGTTAAGGAAACTTATTTTGGACTATTTACAGCCTTTAATAATTGAGTAAGGCATACTCCTGCGATCAATATTTGTGGCATCCTTGTTTCTCCCTGTCTGGTTCCTCTAAAATTTGGAAACGATCTGTGAGTAAGTGTTCTTACGGCAATAAGTTGTTTGTATCAATGCAATAAGAATCCATTTTTCTTTTGCAACAGCACACAATTGGAGAAAGTGGTTATTTTACCAAGGCTTTGGCTGAAAGGGTATGCTTCCCTTTAAGGAGCCAATCTAAAATTGCAGAGCCGATAAATGCCCAGTGGGGCAACTGGCCTCATACCCTTGCCTATGCATTCCCTGTACAGGGTCCCTGACCCGTGGTCAGTAAACAATTGCACTTTCTAACAGGTCCAGGAGCTCCAGGTTTACCTTGGGACCTTAGGAGAGAATCACCCAACTCACAGATATTTGAGGATGCAAACCCGTGGCTCGGCTCAGCTTTAAAAGGTCTTATCTCAGATTCTTTGTGGAACAAACTTTCATCAAAGCCAATCTAAAAGGCCTATGTAAAAATAATTATTATTGCTCTTCTTTATGGCCAAGTAGAAGGCTAAAGTCTATTTTGCAAACAACTCCATCCTATGTTTTTGTTTTTTTTTATTTAAGAAAAATGAGGACTAGAAAGAGACATTATATTCCAAAATGTATCATACATTTCTCATTGAATCCTTTTTTTTTTTTTTTTTTTTTTTTGAGATGGAGTCTCACTCTGCACCCAGGCTGGAGTGCAGTGGCACAATCTCGGCTCATTGCAACCTCTGCCTCACAGGTTCAAGCTATTCTCCTGCCTCAGCCTCCCACAGTTGGTAGTTTTTGTTATCTGCCTATGGGCAGTAGATTTTGTGAGCCTCAGTTTCTCTCCTCTACAAAATAGGGTCAATAATATCTACAATTGCCATTTTAAAATACTGAGATATTCAGATGAAAAAATATCATTAAAAGAGATTGAGAAAATTGAATTATATTACACTTATCTTAGACTGACTTTAAGCAGAACAGGCCACCAAAATGGAAAGTTTGTGTATTAGATAATTTTTTTCCTGCTCTTTTGTTCTGTGGAAATGCAGCATGTTGAAAAGAGCAACCTCCTCTAAGATTATTATTGACTGTGTATAGATAACTCTACTACTTCTCTCTACTCCATTCCCTCCTACCACTCTGATCCTTTCTTCTCTTAATCATGAAGGAGGAATGTTTCTCTTATTATAAGTTGTCTTATACAGCAAAAAATTGTGATAGAAGAATAGACTTATAACCTAGCACAATGAGCAAGTGAATAAAAACGTTCTACAGCTGACCCAAAGAAGAAATTGATTGAAGTCTGTGAGCATTTGAGAATCTTCTAAGAAGAATATGTCTTCACTGTGTGCTTAAATGAATATATAATGTAGTATTATAACATACAAGATAAATATATACTGTAACAATTTTAAAAATAAAAGTGAAATTAGCTTATTTTGTGAAAAAGTTACACTTTTCATGATTTTCAGTTGAAGTTTAGCATTACTTATAAGAGTTTCAAAGGTGGTGACTGAAGTAAATTTGAAATGTTCAAAGTTATGGAGCTTTTAAATAAGCAAACCTCATTTTCTAGTGTTCAGTAGGCATTCAATTCCATTATGAAGCTTGAAAGAAATAATGTAGAAATCGATGTGGAATCTGAAAGAAGGGAGAAAACAATGTGTAATAATTGTTTTATCTCCTTGAGGAATGCTGCACTATAAAAAATCCTATAGTCTCTATTTCTTTTCCATTAGTTTCCAATATTATAGTAAGGATTTGCTTTTTTTCTGAAAGTATTACTAGATTAATTTTATTTTCTCTTTCTGCTTTGTGATGTGGACTTTGCCATTTTGTGACTTTTCTGGTGTCTGTGCCTTTTATTTCTCATTAAAAACCTTAGTTCAAAAGCTCGTTACCTCATGATCTTCATAATGATAAGCTCACAGGCCTTCTGACCTCTAGAATCTCATCTGGTCGTCTGCTATGTACAAGGCTAAATTATAACTTTTTTCTTTATGTATCATGATAAAAATATTTTGCTCTTGGTCAAAAAATTACCCATGTCTGCAGTGCATGTTGTGTACATTCCAGATTTCTGAGTAACATTCAAGACCCCCAAAACCTGACAGAAATTGAAATTTTCAGATGGTTTTTCACTATTATATCCCTGAACTGCATGACATTTTCTTATTGCAACACATCTATACCTGCGCTCTATACATACATACATAACTTTTGACTTCCACATCTGATTTCATGATATTTGATGTTTCTGAAGAAGACTGTATTATACTTTTTAAAATCCTAGCTCATCCATCCAAAGATAGGCTAAAAAGGCCTGAGGAAAATTACCAGACTTTTACCCAAAATCTAAATCTCTTTCCCCTTTGATCAGCCATGACATTTTCATAATATTAATCATACTCCTGGCCTATATTGTTAATGACTCATATTCCTGCTAGATGATTATAAAGGGGAATTAATTCTACTTTATGTCTTCAGTGCAGTGATTCACAAACATAACTTTCAGCCTGGTACAAGGTCATAGACTGAATAAGAATCAGCTAGAAAATTTGATAATATATAGATTTATAGGTCATGCCACAGAGTTTCTGAGTAGACTGAAGATCCTATACACTATCCACCAGGTTTAGAAAACTATAACTTAATTAAAATGTGTAATTCTAAGTAATAATTAGATCGCTTTTTAATAAAAGTGCAATGGATGTATATTTACGGGTAAAAAAATAAATAAAATGCTTTGTTAAAGAGAAGTAGTCTCTGTTAAAGAAGAATTGAATTTAGCTCTGCTATTTAATGCCTCTTGAAATAAGAATTTAATCTTGTTAAACTTCAATTTCTGTCTAAAGAAATATCATTAAGATATGTTTTTAAAAAATCAAATATATTCTTGATATATAGTCACTTAAATATTTCTAGGCTCAGAAAAAATAAATTCCTCTCTTTTATATCCCATTTTGTCTATTTAAACTCATAGTCTCTTCTGTATTTTAGGATGCATAAGATAAAAATATAATATTGAAGACAATGCATGTGTCTCCTACAGCTGAGCCCGGATTATCTTATTGTAGGAGACAGAAAACACAGGGGTCATACACTAGAAATTAGAAGCAGGAAGTAACAAATGAAATAGACATTTTCTTCTTGCTTCCTTTGAAATATGAGCTTCTCCAAAAGTGTCTCCTAATAAAAAAATGTATGTCATGTGACTCAGAGGACAAGCAGATGTATTCATATCAAATACACCTTGGAAATCCACCACTTCCTTTGAAAAGACTATGCTCTAGCTGTGTCTCTTTTCTTTTGTCCTTTCTGTGAATTTTTTCAATTTTTTGTGCACTATTCACTTATTAATGTATATCTTTTGAAAACATAATCCAGACCCTGTGCTAGGCTTTAAGATATGGAATCAGATAAAAAAAGATCCTTGAGAGATGAGTAGAAATTATCCAGATGAAATAATCTAGATGAAAATCTGCAATAATATTCCTGGCAGAGGAAGTAACTGCATCCTGGTAAGAAGAGTGTGAGTCTGGGATTTAAACAATGACCTATTACCCTTCACCTTCCAGCTAATCGTGGCCCATCTATTCTGCCTCCTAAATAGCTTTAGTATCTCCTCTACCTCTCCATCTCTTTTTTCAACTCTCCCCTAATTTACTTTATCATTTCTTTATTGAGCTATTTTAATAGACATTTTGTTTCTCTCTTTAACTCTAGCCACACTAATATCTAATAATTTTAAGGTGGTCAAAGTGGTTCCTCTTCACAGTTGTTATCTCAAACATTTTTCACAAGATTTTCATCTATCCCCTATGATAGATTAAAAATTAAATAGAACATAAATTATATGAAATTTCTCTTTTCTTTCTTTTAATATATACATTATAGCAACTCCCTTCTCATCCTGTCTTCAATTATCAGGTAAAGAAGGGACTTTGTTTCAGTCTTGAAAAACCACATATATGAAGACATAAAGGTCAAAAGGAATATAGATACTTTGAGAATCAAGTCCTGAATTACTAATGCAGCAGAAAATGTTCTGTATGATAAAAGCCCTATCTCTCTCCCCCTTGCCTAACTTAATGGAAATGCCCCAGGCACTATGAATTTGCAAAATTTTCTAAATGTCCCATATGTTTTAAGTACACACAAATAAAAATAACAATTTGCCTGTCTTATTAGATTTATTTAGTGGAATTCTATGTGAGAACATATTTTATATTGCCTCCAATAAAAGGCACATATGAGTCTTTATCATATTTTAATCTTTTAAAATATTATTCCTTTAACATTATCACTTATGTACCATAAGAAAACTTGGACTTGCTGCAATATAGTGAAAATCTTTGTGGGAATCACAAGGCAGGAGGTCTGAATCGATTTCTGATACTACAAAGCAGTATAGACAAGGAAAGTTCACTCAAACACCCCAGGTGTCTTGCGGAGTTGATTGGATGATGAGTCTAGTTTTAATGGATTATGAGCTCATAATTTTATATTCTCATTCATAATTCTGAAACAGAGCAGTGAAGATTTTGACTTACCACATTTTTAATTCTCATTTCCACTATAGGAAAAAATAAAAACCCGAAAAATCATTGCTAATGACACTAGTTACTGAAAACATGGGAGAAGGAGCTGAGGTGAGAAAAGATTGACTTCTCTTGGGTTTTCAAAATTATGTGGTAATTATATAGATCCTGAACCTGCTTAGAGGCTTCCTAATCCAAATATATTATCTCTGTCCCAATTCTTGATTTGTCATCTATTAAGGGAATATAACAGTATTTTCCATTTTGTTCACAGAATTACCAATGTAAAATAAGTCAAATTTCTGCAATAAACATGCTTTTTGAAATTTTAATATGCAGTAGAAATATCATATTATTTTAATTAATATTACTACCATTATTGAAAGTTAATTTAGACTAATGATAGAGTAGAAGTCTAACAGTCTCTCTGAAAGTTTCTATGTATTACCAGGCTATGTATAGTTACTTCTTTTCTTCAGCATTTATTAGTTATAATGATTTTGTAGTTAAAAAATTACCAAACTGAAAAAACCTTTTTTTTCATAAACAGCCCTAAACTTTAGCTTTCTTTGCTTGTAAATAGAGTAAAACACTTCATTCTAAAACTCAGTAATTTTAAATTATTGATGATTTACAAAAAGATCTTTTGAACTAGACTTCAACGTGTTTGCTTAGCAAATTTTCTTTTTAGTGGACAATTTTCTATAATAATATTAATGTAAACAAGCCAGAAGTGGGAAAGTGTTAATTTAGTTTAGGTATTTTTGGACAGTTACCAAGTACTGAGCCTTAAAAATCATGCTTAACGCCAAGCCCTGCTTAGAGAAAAGCTAACGAGTGTTAAGGAACACAGACAGAAAACCTAAAGGGCTATGGGACTACTCTAATTTTTTAACTACAAAATCATTATAACTAACAAATGCTGAAGAAAAGAAGTAACTATACATAGCCTGGTAATACATAGAAACTTTCAGAGAGACTGTTAGACTTCTACTCTAACATTAGTCTAAATTAACCTTCAATAAAGGTAGTAATATTAATTAAAATAACATGATATTTCTACTGCATATTAAAATTTCAAAAAGCATGTTTATTGCAGAAATTTGACTTCTACATTGGTAATTCTGTAAAAAAATGGAAAATACTGTTATATTCCCTTAATAGATGACAGATCAAGAATTGGGACAGAGATAATATATTTAGATTAGGAAGCCTCTAAGCAGGTTCAGGATCTAGTTTTTCCATAGCTCAACTTCTCTACTGACAATCAGATGCTGAGCACTGAATGGTGGTTGTGAATAAAGGAAACACTAATATATCTTAAGGACTTGTTTCATAAATGCCTTTTGAAAATTCTATTATAAAACAACACTGTACACCTTCAAAAATCACATAATAGAATAAAAACTCAAACATTTAAATAATTTGTTAAAGTAAATTTCAAAGATGATAGTTAACACTTTTTTTCACTTTTTATTCCAAGGCCCCAGCATTAATATTCCAGAATGTGCTAGAATTTAGGTAATTTTAATAGAATAAGAATGAATGAATGAATGAATGAACAAATGAATAAAATATTTATGTAGAAATGAAACTTATATTTGGAGAACACAGATTTTATCTATCGATACCAATAGAATGTAGTTGAAAATAAAGATGAGAATTACACCTTAAGACCTTGAATTTTAGCTGATGCATTTGTACTGCATATTTTAATTTAGGAGAGGCAACAGAATATTTTGTGAAAGGGAGTTCCAAGGACTATTGCATTTATTCATCACAATTCAAAAACCAGATGTCGAGGACAAGTATGTTTAATAAATAGAAATGAAGTACCTCATAGACCTTAACTAGCCCTGAATCTGAGCATGAATTTACATTTGCATTTGCTGGCCAGGCACAGTGGCTCATGCTTATAATCTCAGTACTCTGGGAGGCTGAGGCAGGTGGATCACCTGAGGTCAGGAGTTCAAGACCGGTCTGGCCAACATGGTGATACCCCATCTCTACTAAAAATAAAAAAAATTAGCTGGCCATGGTGGTAAGAGCCTATAATCCCAACTACTTGGGAGGCTGAGGCAAGAGAATCACTTGAACTCAGGAGGTGGAGGTTTCAGTGAGCTGAGATAATGCCACTGCACTCCAGCCTGTGTGACAGGGTGAGCTTCTGTCTCAAAAAAAAAAAAAAAGAATAAATACATAAATAAATAAAAAGAAATTTGCACTTGTCAAGCCACTGAAATTTTAAAAATTTGTGTTACTATAGCATAATGTTGAAAGGTAATTTACTACTTTATGTTATTATAGCCAATATTGAGTAGTAAAGAAATTGGCACCAAAAGTGGGGTGACTCTTAAAGAAAAATCTAAAATATTTCCATACAGTGAGAAAACTGATATCAAAGCCTGGAAACCATGATACATGGTGGCAAAAGGTTTAGAAAAATTGTCAAGTGAAATTCAATTGAAAAAAGTAACTTGCTTAGTGAACTTAGATCCTTAGGATAAAAGATTTAAACACATAATGATTTTAACACATGTTGGTGTCTATTGTCTATATTTGCTAGGTATTAAAAGAAAGAGAAAATCTCAGAAAAACATGCCCGTTTGAATGTAAAACAGAAAGTGAATATAGAATTTCTAGAAAAAGTTTGCCTTTCAGTATTTACAATCATAATAATAATATAAAATCCCACTTCTTAACCCAAAAAGTAAAAAATAATGACTGAGGAAGTATGTAAAATGAGCCTTTCAATAATTAAATTGCATTAAAACAATGCGTGATTCCCAAGTTAATCATATCATGGAGGGTGTCCAGGTTCTTGGCGTCTTCAACAAAGAATTGGACAAAACGCACAAAGCAAGGAAGGAATGAAAGGATTCATTGAAAATGAAAGTACGCTCCACAGTACAGGGGCAGGGCTGAGCATAGGAGCTCCAAAGCCCCATTATAGAAATTTTAGGAGTTTAAACACCCCCTAGAGGATTTCACTGGTTACTTGGGGTATGCCCTATGTAAATGGAGAGGATGAAGTAAAGTTACAAAGTCGTTTGCTTGGCCTGCTCCCTACGGAGAGGATGAAGTAAAGTTACAAAATCATTTACTGGGTCTAAGCCCTGTAGAGGGGATATTTCCTGTCATAGCTGAAGTATGAATTGGCCTTGTGTTCCCTGCCTCCACACCCAATTTTGCTACCTCATCTACTATCTGAGAGATGTGATTCCCATAAAGCTTTATGGGAGGTAGAGGGACCGATGGCTTTTTTCCGGTAACTGCTTCATGCTGGCTTGGGGCATAATCCCTACCTACTGGGGACCACAGAACTCTCACCCTGTTCTGTGTAGTGGAGGCAGGGTAGTTTCTTGATGGCCGGGGTGGTGTCTTTACCTGGAACTGGCTGGAGCCTTTGTTGCATGATCATCTGAAGCTTAATGGTCTCTAGGCGAGAGGAAATGAATTTGGTTAAAAGATTTAATGGGAACTTCAATGGGTGGATACCTATGCTGTCAAAAATATTTGCTATAAAGATTTTCAGGAGAAAACACAAAACCTGGTCTGTTCTAGAATCTATGTGTTTCCTTAAAGTCTTAGCATGAGTGACTCCATTGTGGTTTGATATGGTTTGTTGGGGCCTAGTGCATGAACCTGGTCCAAAACAATAACCTCCCATAATTTTGTTATAATAAATTCCCCCTTTTTGGTCAGGCTCTTACATAGGTGAGAGTGTAACCAAAACTTAGAGGCTTAGCGTCACTCTCAGTTACCATCGTTTTGGGTTTCCCATCTCAGCACTTCATTTATAGGTTATGATGTTCTCATCATTGCACATTTTTTTCAGCTCATGTTTTTCCAGTTAAAGAGAGACCATATGACATTCTAGAGATGGCTGCATGCAAGCATTTAAAACCTTTGAGAGAATACAGTGTACCAGGGAGACTACTATTATTACCATTGGGAGGATAATATCAAGAGTTAGGAGTTGCTCCTTACCCAAGGTCCTCAAAAACCAAACCTCCTAAAATCAAACAGATCAAAGAATGAGCTAGATAAAGAGTTTATTCACTTAATTAAGCAGTCTCTTTGTTAATCCCCTGCCACTGAATTTCTATAATCTTCATTTGATATACTTCCCCATAGGCCACAAGTGCCAGCAGCTGCACAGATACTTCTCTGTTTAGCCAATTTTATCATAACTTTCATAAGAGAATTTAGAGTCTATTGTGTAACTGTAGCCTTTACGGTAGAATTTGCTATAGAACCTATCATGAGGGATACATTTCTAATCATTGCTTCTTTTACTTTAAACCATGGAAAAAGGACCTAACAAATGATGCCCTTTTAGAAGAGTGAAGACCTTCTGGCAATGCTCTTTTTAACCCATCGTATGGGTTAAGAGGAGTGGACCAATGTTTTTGATTTGATTGATTATGAGGCAACATATATACCATTAAAGTTTCTTACCTACATTGGGCCTTTATCTTTTATCTATAAAAGTATAAGTTTATCCATGTATAAGGCTGGCTGCAAACTCCTTCACAAATAAAAGTACACCCCATTAGTGCACATAACAGGCCTCTTTTCCATTTCTATTGTCATAGAGGCATAAACAAGAAAAAAGTGTTCAAAGATAAAAGTTTCATGACAATAGAAGTCTTAATCTGAACTTGGGAAAAGCTGTTCACATCAAAGATGCCATCTTCTTGGGCAAAATTTCCCTGGTTAGCTTTACATCAAGGGTTCCAATGGGTGCACAGTTCCAAAAGTGTGGAGGGACCCTTCTCAGTGGTGAGACCATGAACCCAAAGCCCTAAGTCCCAAAGTTTTGCTGTAATGTGGTTGGCAAGGACAGTCTTTCTCCGATGTTTCCAGAAGATTCAAATGATAAAAAGCTTTCTTTACCTAGCAAAAATACATTGTAGCATAATAATCTACTGTTATAACATCAACCCTCTTGCATGGGAAAGCTTGTATACAACCAGAAAATATGCACTGAAAATAACAATGGAATAAAATTCCTTTATGAAAACGTTTAAATGGCCCACCAGGTGACCAAAGGTACCTGAAGCTTTAATTGTTTTCCCGGTAATATGGGATCAAGCTTTGGTTACAAACTTTTTAAACAATTTCAGTATTAGCTGGTTTAACATGAAAGTATTTTCTTGAGATTTAATTAATTTATTGTTTTACTTGGGTTAGTAGCTTTATACAAGGAAATTGGGTTATTTATGTGGTTTAAAATAACAACATGACAACTATAATTGTGATTGGTAGCACACAATTAGACATTAGAATTTTAGAAACCCCATACCGTTTTGGAATATATGTTAGTATTATTCACAAAAATATAACCTAAAGAAGATTGACCATCATTTTGGCAATCCCATCTACCTAAACATATCAACTAATCTTGTTTATCTCTTTTCTGGATGTTTTCAGGGGCCCTCTGATCCATCCAGAAAGCCAGGCATTAGGAAAGACAATCTTGAAACTGAAGTTTGATTTTGGAATTCCAGATTGCAATAAATTAATTTTTTACCAAAATGATGACTCAGAAATTTCAAAGAAGCAAAAACCTCTTATAACCTTAAAAAAAATTCTACTGTTCCTACACACCTTTCATGTAAAACTGTTTCTAATAGTCTTAATTGCACGTTACAATGATGACTCAGAAATGTTAACTTTAACATAAAACCTGGTAAGTTATATTCTGATAAGGTTTGACTGTTTCCAGCATAGCTAGGGCATGGCCAATTCCACATGTCCCCAGGCCTTACCTAGCTGGAGAGCAGGCAAGTTAAAACAATTTTGAAAATCCAAAGAAGCAATTTATGACCTTAATGTATTTAGCAAACTTAATATTAGAACATAATTTAGACCACAAATTTACATTTTGAAGACATTTGTATTTTACCAATAATCTTGAAAACCATCTCTATTTCCCAAAGATTGCTAAAGTCATGTGAACTAAAAGACATCACACTTTCTACTTTTCTGACAAAATATTTGCTTTAAGCTTTTATTATTGAACTAACTAATTAAAACTTTCAGAGAAAATATGCAGTGACTTTTACTTTATATTTAACCAGTTTAGACTGAGAGAAAGAGGCCAGACACTGACTGTTTAGAAATTCTTACCCTTTTGTTGGCATGCCAGATTTCTGGGTTCTTTCTCCCTGAGCAGCCCTGATGACCCTGCTTGACTGTATGCAAACAGACACATTGCCATGAATTAAGAATATTCATAGATAGTTTACAAATTTTGGAAAAACAAGGAAAAGAGAGAAATATGACTCAACTTCTATTTGTGAGAATATACTCAACACATCTAAAGTATCAGGAAGACTCAAATCCAAAAGTTAGTTTAAGGATAAAAAGCTGGCGTGCTCTATTAATTCCTGCAGGCCTGACAAAGGTAGCTTAGGAATTCCAGATAAATGGAACTGTTGGGCCTCTGAGCCCAAGCCTGCAGGTATACATCCAGATGGCCTGAAGCAAGTGAAAAATCACAAAAGAAGTGACAATGGCCAGTTCCTGCCTTAACTGATGCATTACCTTGTGAAATTCCTTCTCCTGGCTCAGAAGCTCCCCCACTGAACACCTTGTGACCCCCGCCACTGCTGGCCAAAGAACAATCCCGTTTGACTGTAATTTTCCATACAAGCTGCTAGCCCACCTCTTAGAACCTCTCATTTCCTTTCCATCGTGGAAATCTATCCTTAAGGAAATCACTTCTTCGTGTTCCATCTGCTATTCTACTACTTCTCAGGGATTGCTCAGGCCCCCTCCCTTCCCTACACATCAAGCTTGGGGATTTGCCCCCGCCCAGGACTGGCAAATTGACTTTACTCACATGCCTCGAGTCAGGAAACTAAAACACCTCTTGGTCTGGGTAGACACTTTCACTGGATGGGTAGAGGCTTTTCCCACAGGGTCTGGAAAGGCCACCACAGTCATTTCTTCCCTTCTGTAAGACATAATTCCTCAGTTTGGCATTCCCACCTCTATACGCCAATATCCCATCCCACAGCACTCTTTAAAAGGATTAAAGCCTTTTATCACTCACCTGCTACAGCATGGCCTTTAAAAGCCTATAAACTCTCCTTACAATTATCCCATTTTACCTGTCCAAAAACCAGACAAGCCTTACAGGTTAGTTCAGGATCTACGCCTTATCAACCAAGTTGTTCTGCCTATCCACCCCATGGTGCCAAACCCATATACTCTCCTATCCTCAATACCTCCCTCCACAACTCATTATTCTGTTCTAGGAAACCTAGCTGACCCCATAGATCCTAAATCCTTTCCCCACTACTCTTTTCATTCCTTGAAGGCAGCTTTAGAGACTGCTCCCACACTACCTCTCCCTAACTCATCCCAACCCTTTTTCATCACACACAGCCAAAGTGCAGGGCTGTGTGGTCGAAATTCTTACACAAGGACTGGGACCGCACCCTGTGGCCTTTTTATCCAAACAACTTGACCTTGCTGTTTTAGCCTAGCCCTCATGTCTGTGTGTGGCGGCTGCCGCTGCCTTAATACTTTTAGAGGCCCTCAATATCACAAACTATGCTCAACTCACTCTCTATAGTTCTCATAACTTCCAAAATCTATTTTCTTCCTCACTTCTGACACATACACTTTCTGCCCCCCTCCACTACCTCTCAGCAAGCCAAACTCATTGCCTTAACTCTAGCCCTCACTCTTGCAAAAGGACTACGCATCAATATTTATACTGACTCTAAATATGCCTTCCATATCCTGCACCACCATGCTGTTATACGGGCAAAAAGAGGTTGCCTCACTATGCAAGTGTCCTCCATCATTAATGCCACTTTAATAGAAACTTGGATAGAGCCGAAAAATTCACCAACCAAGCAAGCAATTACGCTGAACCCCCTTGGGCACTCTCTAATTGGATGTCCTGGGTCCTCCCAATTCTTAGTCCTTTAATATCTGGTTTTCTCCTTCTCTTATTTGGACCTTGTGTCTTCCATTTAGTTTTTCAATTCATACAAAACCACATCCGGGCCATTACCAATCATTCTATATGACAAATGCTCCTTTTAACAACCCCACATTATCAGCCCTTACCACAAAATCTTCCTTCAGCTTAATTTCTCCCACTCTTGGTTCCCACACCATCCTTAATCCCACTCGAAGCAGCCTTGAGAAACATTGCCCATTATCTCTCCATACCACCCCCAAAATTTTTGCTGCCCCAACACTTCAACACTATTTTATGTTATTTTTCTTATTAATATAAGAAGACGGGAATGTCAGGCCTCTGAGCCCAAGCTAAGCCATCATATCCCCTGTGACCTGCATGTATACATCCAGATGGCCTGAAGTAACTGAAAAATCACAAAAAAAAGTGAAAATGGCCTGTTCCTGCCTTAACTGATGACATTACCTTGTGAAATTCCTTCTCCTGGCTCATCCTGGCTCAAAAGCTCCCCTACTGAGCACCTTGTGTCCCCCGCCCCTGCCTGCTAAAGAACAACCCTCTTTGACTGTAATTTTCCTTTACCTAGCCAAATCCTATAAAACAGCCCCACCTCTATCTCCCTTCACTGACTCTCTTTTCAGACTCAGTCCCCCTGCACCCAGGTGAAATAAACAGCCTTGTTGCTCACACAAAGCCTGTTTGGTGGTCTCTTAACACGGACGTGAGTGAAACTCGGAACTAAAATAATCATGGTTTTATATATACATGCATACACAAGCAAAGGCAGAGGAGAATAAACAGCAAATGAATGAAAACTCAAAGCAAAAATAAATAAGCAGGAAACCAACCCTAAATTATCCTACTCAACTTACCCTGGAGGTTACAGTGTTACCTAGGACCTCAAAAAACCCACATAATGGATATTTTGTTCCTCATACTTAATTCAATATGCTTAAGTTTACCAATATCATTATACATTCTATGCAATCAAGAAATTCATTTTAGGCACATGACTAATAAGTACTCTAGCACTTTCCACACGAAACTGTAAAAATAGTGTGAAGTAATGCAAACATGTATGTGAAATTTGACTCAACACTAAATCCAGCTTCATGCTTAACTATAGTAGAAAAAGAATTGCCAAACTGCTGATGCATTTTCATAATACTTCTTATTTAACTTTAATCAAGACTAAGAGCTTTAACTACGAAAATGTTAATTAGCCAAATGTCTCCAAACTGCTATCAGATTTTAAAGAATATTTTATTATTTAAACTTTTCCACATCTTTCTCCCCTACTTAATGATTCCTCACTACATCATTTCATAAATAACCTTTTCAAATCTGTAATTTGAACTAACTTTTAGATAACTTCTGAATTAGACAAAATTATTCCTTTTTTTCACTAATAACATAAGCCTTTCTGGCACATTTTCTATACAGAATTACGTGTGAACTAAATTTTTTATCCTTAGTAACAGAAAACTTTAGTGAAACCCTAAAAAGGAAGAAATCTTGAACTATGAAGATAAGGACATTTATAGATAAGAACAAGTCCACAATTTTAGAAATATATTTGTCTATATTACAACTCTTTATTAATTGGAAATGATCCAGATATAAAACAAGCATTAAAAATATCTTTAAGATTTTAATTTACACAAAAGGTTTACCTAAAACAATTATCCTATTCACTGTACTTAGTTTTTTACTTTTAACAAAGGAGACTTGAAATATCAATCAACATATGTAAAACAAATATTGGTTTGGTCCTGGAAAGGCAGGACAATTCAAGGTGAGGAGGGGACTTGGGGGTTCTCAGATCACAGGTGGGAGACCTACAGTTGCATTCTTTTGAGTTTCTGATTACCCTTTCCAAAGGAAGCAATCAGATATGCATTTATCTCAGTGAGACTTTGAATAGAATGGGAGGCAGGCTCGTCCCAAGCAGCTCCCAGCTTGAATTAACACTGACATTTAAAAATATCTAGCAAAGACAAAACATAAAATTCAGACAAAATGTATGCTGACAATTCTGAAGGCCTTTCTATTTTTATTCCACCAATAATTTTAAAGCTAGCCTGTTTAGTAAAGTTATACTTAGGTCACGTGAACTTGAAAATTGCTTAGACATATTTACTTAATTTATGAGTGCTCTTTTGCTTATAAGCCAATTTGGTACACACAACATATAACAGTAAGTGTACATACAAATAAACACATCTAGACATGTATTCACACACACAAATGAAGATTCAATAGCTGGGAACCTTAGCCATAAGATAGCAATACAAGCTTTCCGGTTTTACTTTGACCCAATAGGTAATCCAAGGAAGGCTGGGAACCAAAATTTCGGGTAAAGCAGTCTCCATGGCAGTTTGAGTTTTAAAGTAAACCTCCCCATACTCCAAGGAGCACTGGGGCCAAACAGTACCAAAGGAGGGCATCACATATTAGCCAGGCACCCTGCTTACAATAGCAGCACAAAAGCGTGGATACATGCAATGCCATCTCACTTTCCCATTAGACAGTAAACCTCAGATTTTAAACAATTTCGGGGCCAAGCAGCATTGCAATTGCGAGAAAATTCTAAGGAGAATTTAATACGAGACCTCAGAACCTCTGCTAAGAGTGTCCCCTTTGGGCAGGTTGAGGTCTGCAGGATCAACAGAGTGCTCTCCTGTGGGGTCCAATCTTAGAGTTCCAGATGTCTCTGGCCTTACTTAGGTGGGCATCCAAGCCACTTTGCATACATTCCCTCCAGAGCCTGCTATGAGCTTTACCTTGGTACCTGGGTGTAATCTCTGACTTCTAGCAACCTTATAATTTGATAAGGCCACGCTTTCCCATGCTTTGCATTCCATGAACTTTAATGATAGGAACTAGAACTTGGTGGGTTTCTTTGCCCTTAGCCAGTTGAATAGGGGAAGGGAAGAATTTAGCATGAGTAAAGAAGGTTTAAGTTGCCTGAAACACGTGAGAGTTTGCTTCAAGCTGTACCACACGTAGGGATCAGGGACCATGTGTGGAAAAGATTAAAAAAAAGTCCCTCCACCTTTGGGACAGGACAATTATTCCCATTCATTTCTAGGCCTTCAGGCAGTACCAGGGAGTGATGCCAACCAATTGCCCTCAATTTCCAAGAAGACACAAGGAAGAAGCTGCTGAAGACTGAAAAATAAGGAAAGAAAAAAATATATATATATTGAAAAAGGCCCAGATTCCTTAAGTGAACTGGGTGGTGGTGGTAGTCAGGCTTCTTCACATGGAAACCCCTCAGTTTCACTAGCCATAGCCAGAAACCTGCTGTCGCTTCCATGTTTAGGCACTTCCCACCAAGTTTCTTAGGTGGGAAAGGAAAAGAGATTCCCTATATGGAGCGGAAAGGGAAAGGAGAAAGAAGAAGAATGAATCCCAGTCTTTGGGCTTACCTTTTCCTCCTGGCTGGCTCGTCAAAATATGCAAATGGTGGAGGGTGTCTAGGTTCTTGGCATCTTGAACAAAGAATCGGGCAAAACACACAAACAAAGCAAGGAAGGTATTTGTGGAAAATGAAAGTACACTGCATAGTGTGGGAGTGGGCCTGAGCATAGGGGCTCAAAAGTCCATTACAGAATATTTTGGAGTTTAAATATCCCATAGAAGATTTTATTAGTTACTTTGGGTATGCCCTATATAAAAGGAGATGATGAAGTAAAGTTACAAAGTAGTTTACTTGGCCTATGCCCTATGGAGATGATATTTCCTGTCATAGGTGAAGTGTGAATCGGCCTTATGTTCCCTGCCTCCAAACCCTATTTTCCCTCCCCACCCACAAATCATCTCAATCCAAATTACTCAGAGCAAAGATCAGATTGAGGATGTGTATTTCCTATCAAATATAGTACTTTCGAGGCATCCAATATTAAGTTGAGAAGAGAGGTGAACAGAAACTAGGAGCTATCATGGAAGAAACCAAACCAAAACAAATTTAACACATCTTAAACCATGCGTGAGTGTGTTTACTAAATGTATTCTATGAAAGATGGCAAGAGTCAGTTCTTAAAAGTACCATTAGTGTTTAAGACAAAACTTTTGCTTTGGCCCTTGCCAAATATCTAACTGTAGGTAATGAATTGAAAAAAAAAAATGCATAGCCTACAGTGTAGGCTATATTCTATTCTCCTAGGAATGCATATTCTCCTAGGCCTATTTCTGATGTGGCTGAATAGGATAAGGAACATTGCAGATTCTCTCAGAGGGTGGGACTAGAAAACAATGAATAATAAACAAGATGATAGCTCGTCCAGGAAGTGAAACCAAGACTTCCAAGTGAAACAAGGAGTAACAGGCTCTTTCAATATCTATCCAGCAGGATTTTATAACTGCTTTGGAACAGTCGACGATATATTAAATATGTTTACCATTTTTCAGTGTTATGAATGGAAATAATTATCGCAGACTTTTACTGTTCCAGTATTATATCATGGACATACATTGAAGTCTGACAGTTAAATTTTTTTTTACTTTTTTGAAAGATCATATTATGACCATACTACTGGATGCAGTGACTGGATGGAATCATAACTATGCTTTGACCCAAAAAATTTCTAAGGTAGGTAATGAACTGAAAAAGAGGTACAGACAACAGGAAGAACATATTCTCCTAAGCCTACTTTATATTTGACCAAGTAGGATAAGGAAAATGAAATAATCCCTCAGAAAGTTAAATAGCTTACATATCAAATATTTTTGATGAGTTAGAAAAAGGAAGAAAGAAGGAATTTGGTAATTAAAATAACCAATTGAAGCAGACATTAATACCCACTAAAGATTTCATTTGCCATTGCTTTTCTGCATTATCCAGAAACCTTCCTTTAATGTGAGGTCATGTGTTGCTCTGGCCAAAGGGCTGTGAAGAAAGATGGCGTATTCTTCACAGCCTAGTCAATGAAAATCTCATTAATAATTTTCTAATCTGTTCCCCCTGCTTCACTGACTGATTGAGAAAACCTTATATTTTAGTCAGGGAAGCAAGACAAGGGAGATTTTGTTAGCTTGTGTTCTTGAAGGCCTGTATGGAGCACAGCTCTTTAATGACCCATGCTAACTGACTATGCAGCATGAACAAAATATGAAAAGAAGTTTTTTGTTTTGTTCTGTTTCTAAACCATAGTAAAATTGGGGTCATTTGTTACTTCGGTCACTTCTGATTCTACAGGGAATAATTTGAGCATTCCGGCAACTATAAAATGGCTTTCTTTTATTCTTTCTCGGACACCAATTAAGTTTTAAATTGTTCCACCATTCCTGAAAGAGATCCCAATCAAATGGTATGCAATCTCTGGTAAACTTCAGTCGAAATCACACAACTTACTTCTGTACCATAAAAAAAAAACAGACAACTTATCTAAATTATACATTGGTTTATCACACTTTGAACTATCAAAAATTTTTAAAGGCTATTAGATGCTGAGAGAATTAAAGACAATTGCCACCTTAAGCTAAAAAATTGCTTATGAAAGTTTCTCTTTTGGTGATAGGCTAATACTTTGCCTGATTTCACAGTATGAATGGTGTCATGAGACTAATCAAATATATTCATATTTTTTTTCAGAAATTGCCTCAGTAGTTTTTTCCATAGCCCTCAAGAATTTTGATTTATTGGTGAGATGATTCTGGCAGCCAAAATCATAATTAATTTTGGATGATCAATCTAGTAGACTTTTAATATTAGAAAGAAAGGGAGAGTAAGAATTAGAGACAGGTGTCAGAGACATGAGTTAGAAGTGTTGTGATACAATATCATAACGTTTATAATGAATTATTGGAATTTTTATCATTTCAGCAAGTATATTTTCTTCTTAATTTGCTCAGTGAATAAGAAAGGCACAAATCAATTTTCGTAGCAAAGAAAGGCAAATTATCTGGATAAATAAGGATGTGTTCAATAGCAGGGTTCATTCACTCTCAATCAATTTAAAATATCTATTAGAGAAACAAATGTGGGTATAATAATCACAAATTTGTATTGCTTAATTAATTAGACATTATCTTATTCTGAGTGAGTGCATGTTACTAAATTGAGCCCTACATAAAGAAACTACATTTCTTTAAAAATGTTGATTTTTAACATGTGAAGGTTTGTTATATGTGTCATGGGTTTTGTTGTATAGATTATTTCATCAACCAGGTACTGAGATTAGTACCCAGTAGTTACAATTTCTGGTCCTCTACCTCCTCCCACCCTCCCCCATCAAGTGGACTCCAGTGTCTGTTGTTTCCTTCTTTGTGTTCATAAGTTCTTATCATTTGGGTCCCACTTATAAGTGAGAACATGCAGTATTTGGATTTCTGTTCCTGTGTCAGTTTGCTAAGGATAAGCGCCTCCAGCTCCATTCATGTTTCCACAACAGAAATGACTTCATCATTTTTTTCTGGCTGCATGGTATTCCGTGGTGTATATGTATCACATTTTCTTTATCTAATCTGTCATTGATGGGCACTTAGGTTGATTCCATGTTTCTGCTATTGTGAATAGAGCTGCAATAAACATTCATGTGCATGTGTCTTTATGGTAGAAAGCTTTATATTCCTCTGGGTATATGCTCAGTAATGGGATCCCTGGTGCTTTATATTCCTCTGGGTATATGCTTAGTAATGGGATTGCTGGGTCAAATGGTATTTCTGCTTTTAGCTCTTTGAGGAATTGACTACTGCTTTCCACAATGGTTGAACTATTTTACACTTCCACCAAGAGTGTATATAAGTGCTCCTTTTTTGACATAACCTCACCAGGGTCGGTTGTTATTTAGTTTTTTAATAATTACCATTCTGACTGGTGTGAGATGATATCTCATTGTTATTTTGATTTGCATTTCTCTAATATTCAATGATACTGAGTGGTTTTTCATATGCTTGTTGGATGCATGTATGTAGTCTTTTGAGAATGTATGTCATGTGTTTTGCTCACTTTTTAACAGGGCTGTTTGTTTTTCTCTTGTAAATTTGTAAGTTCCTTATAGATGCTGGATATTAGACCTTTGTCAGATGTATAGTTTGCAAATATCTTCTCCAATCTTGTAGGATGTTTGTTTACTCTGTTGATAGTTTCTTTAGCTGTACAGAAGACCTTAAATTTAATTAGATCCCATTCGTCAATTTTTGTTTTGGTTGCAATTGCTTTTGGTGTCTTTGTTATGAAATCTTTTCCCATTCCTAAGACCCAGATGGGATTTCTTAGATTGTCTTCCAGGGTTTTTACAGTTTGGGGTTTTAAATTTCATTCTTTAATTCATCTTGAGTTGATTTTGGGGTATGGTGTGTATAACATAAAGTGGTGCAAGAAACTAACTGGAATTGTACTTGAATAGAAAAAAACTTACTCTTCTCATTCTCTTTTTCTCTTTTCTTCTTCCTGTTGCCTAGAAGGCATATAAATGTTGGAATCAGGAGCCTAAGCAAGCAACCTGCTTCATGAGCAACAATTGTTGTTAATGTTGGTGCAACAAAAATGTGGGAGCTTGGTCTCCTGAGGATCATGATATCTTCATTCTCATTCTGGTCTGTAAATACACATGCATAAGAAAATATAAAGCTCTGATGTTATTTAAGCCACTATTATTCTTTTGTCATTCATAGTTTAACATGAACAAATACAACCATCTTCAATCGTTTTTATTTGAAGAGTTTCTTTTCCTCACTATCCAAAATTATTTTTTACTCTTTGACTTCTCTTCAAACATTGCATATCTTTTCATCTCCTCTCACTTTCAGCTGTGGTCTTGTCTACATTTTATTAAAAAGGAAACAAACAGTGATACATCTTCTCACCATGCACTCTGACATCTAAATACCTGTCTTCATATCTTCTTTTCTCCTGTTAAAATGTTTTCCTCATGAAAACAGTTTTCTTCTTACTAAAACACAATTTATACTCTTGTGCTGTGGATTCCTTCCACTCTTGACTTTCTAATATCTGTGTCTTTACTTAATCCATCTTTCGAGTATCCTCATTCTTTCTATTTCAACTGAATAAATTTCATGTGTGTACAGATATACTCTAATTAATAATTCCTTTCCCCATAACATAATATGGAGACTATCAAATTCATTGCTTCCTTTTAAAGCTAAATATCTCTAAAGAGCCATACATACACAATGTATCTATATTTCACTTTGTGTTCACTTCAACTAATTGCAAAGTCAGCTCTCACCTGCAAAATTCCAGTAAAACTACTCTTATTCCAGTCACCAGTGGCCTTAGTATTGAGAAATCTAAAAGAAACTTTTCTGTCTTCATATTTAAAAGATAATTAGGTAGCATTTAGAGAGGTGAGCTCAGCATTATTGTATACATGATGGTATTTAAGTCACCTTTATTATTCATTTTACCCCCTTCTTTACTCACATCTTCTTTTTGACATCCTTTATTCACTCTCCTGTTTCTGGCTGCTAAAATGGTGGACTTCACAGGCATCATTTTAGTCCTTTGTCTGTCTTAGAATTCCCCAGTTAATTACACTACTGGTTTCCAGGATTTGAAAGATCAGCTTAATGTCATGTTTCAAATTTATTTCTCTTTTCTAGAGCTCTATAATTTCCTACGTGCACTGCCAACTCTGCACTTGGCATTTTCTTTTGGGGTATCTCTCACAGACATCTCAAATTTCTGATGTTCAAAACTGAAATCTTAATTTCTCCCCTCCACAGATACTACCCATCCCCAAATTCAACAGTCTCAGGAAATCACACTCACATTCATTCCTAAACCTAAATCCTAATAGATATGTCATATACCTCCCTTTATTTCATAACTCTATGAATGGTATCTGTTTTGCCAACACATCCTGTTAATATTACCTCCCATATTTCTCAAATCTTCTCCATCTCCAGGAACAACATTCTAATCCACTTACTGACTTTACCCAGTTGGAAGATTACCACAATATCCTGAATTGTGTCTACACTTCTATCCTTCCAATATATTCCCAACAAGGCAGCATGGTGAGGAAATGAATTACAACACTTAATTGCTTAAAATCATTTCATCATTTTCCATTACACTTAAAAAATAATCCAAATTCCTTAATATATACACATACAAGGGCACACATGATCATATTCATCCTCATAGTATGCAATCCAGCCATCACTGGTTTCCATTCAGTCTCTAGAGTTCAAAGCCATTTCTTGCGGTCTTTTTCCACATTAAAACCCTTTTTTACCTCCTCTTCACATTTTTAGCTCTATCTTATTTTCACAATTTAAATGTCACAACTCTAGAAAAGTCCACTTTGGTTCTTATATTATAGAACCCCTAAGAAATACACACAGTTTCAGAACCCTGATATTTTTATATTAGTCCTCTCTTTCCTTTGTACTATTAATTAAAATTTAATGTTTTTCCTTTTTTTAGATTGAAGTTACTGAGACTTGAATTTTGGTATTTTTAATATATACTTTATAATTGGTGATGGCTATCTCCTTATTGGATTGCGGGCTTTATCATGATCTTTTTACTATTCTAACTTCAGCACCTACAAAAATGTCACGTAGAGAGTACTTAACGCATATTCGTTCACTGAATAAATGAACAGATGAAATATTTAATTTGTGTAGGCTTCTCTATGGGAGGAACACTGGACTCACATAAGGAAGCCTGAGTTACCATCTGGACACTGATACTAACTCTCCTTAAGGCTACATGAAAATATTTTAATTATTAAGGTATTTCCAGATTTCTTAGGCCTGTGTCATTTGTAGCATTTTTCTGTGCCTTTATAAACTGTCTCCAAATTTAAAAGTAAAATTCATAAATGGTAATAAAGATTTTATTAAATGATAATATTTTAAAATGTTCACACTAATCTTAACTTCAGAAAATATTCGATGATTACAAAGAAAATAAGAAGTTAAGAATAGTTACCTGTGCATTAAAGTTAGATTTTTCTTGGTATGTCACTGCGGACTAGAACAGAATCCTTCACAAACAAATATGAGGTTAAGTGAAAAATAATTCATCAATGCATATGATTTACTGACTAAATTTACTTATATTCTAAAAAGATTTCTGATTATTATCCAGTAATCATGTGAATAATAAAGCTTATCTTAGTGCTATCCAAAGGCATGATAAATATATTTCTAAGCATGCTTTTCTCAATATAAGTGAATAGAATGTTACATAAATTTTGCCAAGTATACATGGCATATTATTCAAAATTATACCTTCTAATAGCAGTCATTTCCATAATTCTTGAGACAGAATTAATGTTCCAGGAATATTTTTGTATTTAACAAGTTAATGAAAAGGTATTTATATGATATATCTTATCTATTTTAAAGTATTGCACTATAAAATTTTTTTGGTCTTTGCTTGTATAAGAAATAATTTAAAAATTGCTTCTATTTTAATTATTTTATATTTGTAATTTAATCACTTATCAAAATCTAGCTCCTTAGAAACCAAAAGCTTGTCAGAGAAAGACTTCAGGCAATAGGAAAAAAGAGAATAATAACCTGTTTGTTCCTAAGTTTACTTTCATCAAGCAGCTATATGTCACTAAAGGGACTGATATGTCCTCCTTATTGCAAATTAAATCTGAACTGTACAACAGCACTTGTAAACCCCTGCACACAATTCTTTGATTCTTGCGGGGGGAAAAAAGGAATACAGAAAGAAAAGTGAGTAAAACATTGGTAATTTGTTTAGCTGGTGGTGCAGGCTGTTCTCTGATCAAATTTTGTTTCCCAAAGGAAAGCATCAGTTTTAAATTACACAGCAAGCAGGCAAGAGAAAGGAGGCAAACAATCAAAACCTTCCCAGGAGGGGAAAGAATAAGGCTAGAGCTCCAGAGATCCCATTTAATAAATAAACACCTTCATTTCTGTAAGTTAATTTCACCACAGGAAATAAGTTTAGTCTTAATTATATTGCCTTATGTCATGTTTTATAAAAGGTACATGAGGTTCATTGACTTTCACTTATTAAAGCTTTGGTTGTTTCCAAATATGTTGCATGGGGATTAAGTCTCTGAGGAAATGTCATATGATGAACAATGATATGAAATGCAATATTTTCATCTTATCCCATGTTATTGGCAATTAGATAGATGAAAACAGCCTATTACATTTAATTTTCATTGAAAAATGTTTTGACTTTTTGGTGTTATGTAGAAAAGGCTCTAAGTAATACAGCTTGGTTGTATTATTTGCAAAAATGTTAATAGTGAGCTACCCTTGGTCAGGTTTGAGAAAATATATAGGTAATAATTTCAGAGTTGATTTTTTTGATGTAGATTTCTATCCCTCATAATTTTGAACGTTTTATTTAAATTTAACATCGTGAGGAGGTGAGTAAGCTTAAGTTTTTGCTCAGTTATACTTTTCTAAGCAAAGAAACTGGAACCTAGGTTAAAGGGCAAGACTTGGAAGTTAAAGATGACTGACAAGAGATAGAAAGAGAGACCTCCAGAGAGATTTAGGGGTTTATCTTTAAAATGTCTTTATAGGCAGAGTGCAGTGGCTCATGCCTGTAAACCTAGCACTTTGGGAGGCCGAGGTGGGTGGATTCCTTGAGCTCAGGAGTTCAAGACCAGCTTGGGCAACACAGCGAAACCCCATCTCTACAAAATACGAAAAATTAGCTGGGCGTGGCAGCATGCAACTGTAGTCCCAGCTACTTGGAAGGCTGAGGCAGGAGAATTGCTAAAACTCGTGAGGCAAAGGTTACAGTGAGCTGAGATCCCGCCACTGCACTCTGGCCTGGGCGACAGAGCAAGACTCTGTCTCTTAACAACAAAAAAAAAGTTTTTATATTTCAATTCAGAATGAAACCTGAGTCATTAAGCTGGCTATTTACATTACAAAGCATTCTAAAATATTAGGGAGCAAGTATTTCTCACCTTTTAGGAGAGGGGGCTATATGCAGTACAGAAACTCCAAGATTCATAATTTCACCTTGTGGTTTCTGTCTGGTGGTGCACAAACCATTTTTTGCATGTGCATGTTCCATCTGGCTCTTATGGCATCATCCTCAAATGGTGAGAAGACAGTATGGGCTGATGTAGTTATTGCTGCAAGTAATAAGAATCTTTATTTGATCCAAAAATATGTTTACTTTCAGATTAATACAAACACATGTAGATATTGAGGCTAACCAAACAGATTTATGCTTGTAAAACGCATTATATGAGCCACTTTAAGGGTGGTAGAAACATATCTGAGCCTTTGGCAAAGCTCTATTCTGTAGCCTATGATAGATTTGTTAGTATTATTTTTGTTTTTAGTGATAAATTACAGAAAGGTTAAAGGAACCGCTCAGTGTCAAAACTGGACATTAAAACTCAGTTCATTATTAGTTATTATACAATGAATCGAGTTTATTTTAGTTCAGTGACTAATGTCACACAGGGAGTAAAGAAAAACATTCTTTCTCGGTATAGTTGGCTTTGTTATACGGAGTGACAAGTAAAAACAAATAAAATAAGGTTTATATATGAAGATTGGTAAAAGGAAAACAATTTTCTATGTGTGAGAGATCCCACTGATGTTAAAATTCTGAATGTTACTGGAGAAGAGACAAAAATTTGCCCTAAATTTCATAGTTATTAAAATCTTGGTGTATTGAGCATTCATACCTAAAGCAAGGTTTCTAAGACAAGAAATGCATTTCCTAAGATAAAACCAATAGGCGGTAGATTGAGATCAAAGACAATGAACTTTGTGCTCTAAACACACATCCTTGAGTTAGGCTTACTTCTGAAGAGGATCTGTATATATGACATATAACATGATAAATACAATGCCCACAAGGTATTAAGTACTAAATATATAATAATTGCTCTGCCTTTTATTATTGCTATTCCTGAATTATGTTTTATATTGGTGCAACAAGTCAATGTTGAATGTTTCTTATATTTGTTTTTCTCTAGCTAATTTAAATTGATAAGCCAAGGGTAATCATGCCCTCATAGCTCTGACTGGGATAAATAACAGATGACAAAGAGTAAGATGTCCCCTTCTTACACAAAATAATTTGAAGAGGCTTACACAATTGAGAGTTAATTTTCTTTCGATAACTGTTAAAATGCATGGAAATGCTTAAAACAGTATTATATTCATTGTTAGGATGTTAAGCCAAAACCCACCTTACTACTTCAGGTATTTCTGGGAAAAAAATATAGGGGACTATGTGTTGTTGACTCATTGTTCATTGGAATCAATTATAACTATGTTTGGGGCAAGGTACTCAAGGAGGAACACGTGACATGGACAGGCAATGGTAGACTTGTTGAAGGAAGCAAAATGCATATTTTCCATTGTGTCTTTATATCAAGTATTTAGGTTGCATTCCCATTTAAATCTGTTATGAAATATGTGATATTAAATTAAATTAATTAAATTGAGTCTCATGGGAAGCCTAGGAGGACTTTAAATAAGGAATATGGCAACTATTAAATTTTGCCAGTGGAAAACCTTTATAAATTGTACTTAATTTTTTTAAATTAAAAAAGTATTCTTTCCAAATAAACCGTTAAAAAAATAAGCTATATGGAAACAATTTCAGGTTATATTTCTAAAAAAGTACTCTCAAAACTCAATAAAAACTCCAACAACCTAATAAAAATGATTTGAATGAAATGTCGCTACAAAATATATAGAAGTTAAATTAATTTGTGAAAAGTTGCAAAAAATGATGAATATTAGGGAAACATAAAGCCACAATAAGGAAACTCTATATACTATTTGAACTAAATTTAAAAAGAATAATCATAGCATGTGTTGATGATTTGGAACAAATGGAACCCTCACACAATGTATAGAGGAATATGAAATATTACAACCACTTTGGGTATATAGTTTGGGTAATAGTTTGGTAGTATCATCATACATTGAACATACCACCTACCAGCCATTCCACTCTTAGGTATTTACCAAAAATGAATAACAACAACATGTGTCCATACAAAGACTTTTACACTAATATTCCCAACTAATTTTACTGATTTTTTTTTAGACGATGTCTGACTCTGTCGCCTAGGCTGGAGTGTGGTGGCGTGATCTTGGCTCACTGCAACCTCCGCCTCCTGGGTTCAAGCGATTCTCCTGCCTCAGCCTCCGAAATAGCTGGGACTACAGGCGTATGCCACCATGCCCGGCTAATTTTTGTAATTTTAGTAGAGACGAGATTTCACCATATTGGTCAGGCTGGTCTTGAACTCCGGGAACTTGTGATCCACCTGCCTCGGCCTCCCAAAGGGCTGGGATTACAGGCGCAAGCCACCACGCCCGGCCCTGAGTATTTTTTAATAGCCCAATACTGGAAACAACCCAAGTACATATTAACAAAGGAATGGTGAAGCAAATATCAGCATATAGCTGTACAATGAAAGGGCACTCATCAGTAACATAAAAACCCTTTTACAACATTGATAATCTCGAAGAACTGTGGTGAGAAAAATGAGTAAGGCAGTTCCCTCCCCTCAAAAAATGTCCATACTGAATGACTCCACGTATACAAAATTCAATAAAACACAAACCACTCTATAGTGACAAAAAATCAGGCCAGTTTTCTCCTGGGAATGAAATAGTGAGAGCATCAAGAGAATAAGATTAAGGAGAAATGTGAGAAAAAAATTGAGGGTAATGGATTTGTTCACTATGTTCACACAATGCATTTTTACAAAAGTCAAGAGTTATCAACTTGTATACTTTAAAAATATGCAGCTTACTGTGAGTTTATTGTATGTCAATTATACCTAGATAAATCTTTTTTAAAAAAATAGGATGAAGGACAAATTTTCATGAGATTCTCTTTCCTTGAATATTTGTGTAAAACAAGAGTTTTCCTTTTAGATATCATATCTATTCCAATAATGCATAAATTATAGGTGACATTATAATCATACATGATATTTATGCATAAGTTCACATCTTAAGCTACATTTTTAGTTTTAAACCTTCCACAGTAGCATCACCATATATATGTGAAAGGTTTAAAACTTATATATACACGCACACATATGCATGTGTATATTTTAGTATATACGTATATATATTAATATATATGTATTAGTGTGTGCATATACGTGCGTGTGTGTGTGTATATATATATATTTTGAAACAGGGTCTCATGCTGTTGCCAGGCTGGAGTGCAGTGGCTCAATTTCAGCTCACTGCAATCTCCACCTCCCAGGTTCAAGCGATTCTCGTGCCTCAGCCTCCCGAGTAGTTGGGACTACAGGCATGCACGACCACGCCCGGCTAATTTTTTGTATTTTGTAGAGATGGGGTTTCACATGTTGCCCAGGCTGGTCTTGAATCTCTGGGATCAAGCGATCTGCCCTCCTTAGCCTCCCTAAGTGCTTGGACTACAGATGAAAGCCATTGTGCACTGTCAGCATATATTTTAAATTTAACGCATTAACCTTCCCATTTGTAATTGCGGGTCTAGGTATCAGTGTGCATTAAACAGCTATAGTTGATAAACACTAATGTTTTTTTCACTACTCTCAGTCTATTTTACCCACACTGGTGCACAATATCTCAGATTCTCTCAGGGGGTTGTACTAACAGACCTTAGCTACCTGGTCACCCAGACTCATGTCTTCTTTTTCAGCCCATACCATTTTGATCAGTACTGTTTCTGAAGAGGCTGTAGATTCCACTTTTGTGTCATCATCAGGTTTTTAAATTCATCATGACCAGAGCAAGTGAGCAAATCTGTTACTACCCTTTCCTCTAAGGAGCTGTTAGAGCATCCTGGCCAACTGATCTCATGTAATAATCTACAATCACTTGAGCTGCCACTTCAATTTTCTCTTCCTTTTTCGTGCCACATTTGACTAGTCTCCTGGCCAGTAACATTTGGTTTAACCATCTTGCCCTTTATTATCCCTTTTTAAATTATTGCAATTTTTTTTCTAATAATCTGTATCTTCTCTCTGTCATGCAGTCCCATTTTGTGGAGCTTAGCTAGTAGATTTTAGATAGCTTCCCGTATTTTGTCTTAATTTCCAGTCACAATGTAAAATGAGATGCTCAAAGAAGCAAGACTCCATTTATTATGGCACCAATTGTGACCTTTAAGGCACACACTTACGAGATACTTTAACATCATCATATAACCAACCCAAAATAGCATACATTCTCAAAATTTTAGCAGATTCAGGAATGTTTTCTTTAACGTATAAAGGTGTAATTGGTCAACTTCCCCTCTCAAGGTAATCTTTATATAAGTTTAACCTAAACCAGCTCTATAGACTGAACATCTCTCCATTCGTTTACATTTCTTACAGGGTGTTATTAAGTGAGGATGCCGAGAAAAACCAAACATACATTCAGATCACTGTGTCTTAACCTAGAGCGGTAACTCCCTGGTCCTAGCAATTAATATATACCTCAGCAATAGCTATTGAAATTCTCAGTTGACTTCTTTTCTGTCTGAATTACTTTTTAAAATTGATATAACAATGAATCCAAGTGTTGGGTCTGCCACATTTAAGTCCCATTGATAAACTTTTCTGATGGTCAGTGACAGTTAGAAACTTTTCTGATTGTCAGTGACAGATATTTGCTCAAACTCCAACCATAGATATCTTGAAAGCAATCCAGGTATAGGTTCCTTTTCCTCCTGTTCTTTCTCTTCTCTGTTCAAAATAACACCTGCTACATTATTAAATAGGATCACACATGATTTTGATTATTCTGTTATTCTGCCAACTATACCACCACCACCAACTACACTAATTTTATCCATCCTGATATTTGAAAGGACTCATAGGAGCAAACAAATTACATATCCATAAAATAGTTTAGCATAAACAAAGAATACATAGCAGGAAGAACAAATACAAGTCTAGAACAGCATTAGGGAAGTTGTCAGAGTACTTCCTCAGCCCCCCAGGATACAAATAGGTCTTTTATACCCCTCTGCTTATTTAACTGAAGCCAGACTGTTTCATCAGTGTCAATAACAGACACAGTGATAACATAAGCAGAATTCTGCACATTATTGAAAAACAAAGCTGAAATTTGCTACAGATTACCCCTTATTGTATCAGACACAAAAGCATGAGTCATTAACTAGTAAATTCCATTTCATTTTGATCAAGTTTTAGCACTGTGTCTCCAAATATTTCTAGAGAAAAACACAGAGCTGCAATAGATTAACTGAGATTACTCTAATAATTACACAATTTTCTTGTAATAATGGCTTTAGTTGTATTTCATAAGTTTTGAAATTTTGCATGTTCTCTACCATGTGAAATATTCATAAAATATATTCTGATTACTTACTTGACACATAAGTTATTATTTCTTTGACACAGTTTATTTAGACATTCTTAATTTTCAAATATATATTTTTAACTTCTAAGTTAATTTTACACCGTCATATGAAATACCCTAAATAATTCCAATACTTTATTGAGACATGTGGTTGTTCTAGAGATTACAACATGTTTAAATGAGTATCATTACCAATATTTAAATGATACTACTTTCTTCTTCTTATAAATTGCAAGAAATATATAATCCTTCAACCCCATTTCAAAAAATGGTGCCAGAACAATTAGATATCTATATGCAAATAATTAACTTCAACCCATACATCACCTAATGTATAATACTTAACTTTTAGTGAATCATGGACCAAAGTAAACTTAGAATTACATGCTTTTACATAAGAAAACATAGGAATAAATTTTTATAACCTTGGATTATGCAAATTTTTTAGATACAATACCAAAAGCAAAATCCATATAAAAATTGATGAATTGCCTTACATCAAGATTAAAAACTCCTGTTTTTTGAAACATACTAAGAGAATAAAAAGACAAACTGCAAACTAAGAGAATATATTTGCAAATCATAAGTTTGATTATTAAAAGTTGCTTCTAAAATATATAAAAACTCAAAAATCAGTAGTAAAACCCAGCTTCTAAATTAAAATGTGGACAAGGTTTGAACAGACACTTTAGTAGAGAAGGTATCTGAATGACAGATAAGTATTTGAAAGATGATAAGCCTATTTATCATTAGAAAAAAATTAAAACCACAAGATACCACTAGGTACTTATTAGAATGATTAAAATTTAACAGAAAGAATACCATGTGTTGATGAGAATGTGGAGAAACAAATTCTTGCACCGCTGATGAAAATGTAAAGTGGTATGATCATATTAGATACAGTTTGACATTTTCAAAAAGTTAATCATGCACTAACTCTACAGTCCAGTCATTCTACTAAGTATATAATCAAGATATATGACAGATTTCCACTAAAAATTCATGTACAATAATGTATATAGTAATTCTACTTATAACAGCTCTAAGGTAAAAATAACCTAAAAGATCATCAAAATGTGAAGGGATAAGGAAATTATGGTATATATAATACAAATTTCATTTCACAGCAAAACAGTATGAACAATTGATGAACTGTCAACATGGATGAATATACAAATAACTATGCTGAATTTGAGATTCCAGGCAAAAAGTACATATTTATGATTTCATATGTATAAAATGTTAACTAATCTGTAATGAAATAAATTATAAGAGTTGTCCTGGGATTTGGGCAGCAGGGGCAGTAGCAAGGTGGTAGTAACTACAACGAAACACTTGAAAAACTTTTGGTTCTTATAAATATGTTCACTATCTTGATTAGAGTTATGGATTTGTGGGCTTATACAAATATGTGCAGTTTAATCTATTGATTATTTTATATTAAAATCATCTATTAATTATTCTATAATAAAATCATTAAAAATCATTGGAGACCATAAAGTGAGTAAAAATTAGTTGGTTAATTTAAGGAAGCAGAACAGTGGGAAAAAAAGAAACAATGGATACAACACCCCCAAAATAGAAGGATGTTAGATTAAAGCTAATTATATCTAATCCATATTAAATATAAATAGACCAAAAACTCCAACTTAGAGACAAAGATTTTTCAGGCAGAATTAAAAACCTAATAAATGATGTAACTAAATGCTGTTTATCAAAGTTAGGCATAATAATTATGACTAATTTGAAAGTAAAACTATAACTCATACCACACAAAATTTAATATAAACAAAGCTGCTAAAACTATATTAATGTTACAAAAGGTAGATTTTAAGGCAATAAATATTATTAAAGACAAAGAAGTACTCACACTTTAAAAAGGGGAAAATCAACAAATAGTAAAACTCATTGTATAGCTTCCATAGATTTAAAGTAAAATTTGTGGGATTCATATGGACAAATCCAAAATTATATTTGAGATATCAGTAAGTGATACTACCAGCATATTTTTTAAAAATCATGCAATTTTGATGAATTAAGAAACATAATGGACCCTCCTTGACCTAACAGGAATTTGTAAAAAACTTTCCCAACAACTGCACTTTCAACATTTGAACATACAACATTTACCAAAAAGGCCATATGATAGACCATAAAGCAAGTCTCAGAGTGTTTTGAACTATTTAAGTAATACAGGTTATATTCTTGTACTTAGGGGAATTAAATTGGGAATAAAAGTCAGAAAGAAAATTGTTAAAATTCCAAATTATCTGCAATTGTAGAATATAGTTCCAAATATATCTTGGATCTAAAAAATGAAAACTAAAAAATAATTTGGGCTGGGTGCGGTGGCTCACAGCCTGTAATCCCAGCACTTTGGGAGGCTGAGGCGGGTAGATCACGAGGTCAGGAGATCGAGACCATCCTGGCTAACACGGTGAAACTCCGTCTCTAATAAAAACACAAAAAATTTAGCCAGATGTGGTGGCAGACCCCTGTAGTCCCAGCTACTCGGGAGGCTGAGGCAGGAGAATGGCATGAACCCGGGAGGCAGAGCTTGCAGTGAGCAGAGATCATGCCACTGCACTCCAGCCTGGGCGACAGAGCGAGACTCTGTCTCAAAAAAACAAACGAACAAACAAACAAACAAAAATTTGAACTGAATTGAAATTACGATATCTCAAAAATTTGGGAATGCAGCTAAATTAGTATTTAGCTGAGAATTTACAGCTTTAAATGCACATACTAGTTAAGAAAAAAAGTTAAAATGATCTAAGTGTCCATTCTAAAAACCTAACAATAGAGCAAATAAAACTACCAAAAAAAGACAATTACAAAATAAATACATTTTGGAGATCTAATGTACAGCATAGTAATTTATAGTTAGTAAAACTGTATTGTGTTGTTCATATGGTTTGACTCTGTGTTCCCACTCAAAGTTCACGTTGGATTGGATCCTCAGTACTAGAGGTGGAGGCTGGTGGAAGGTGATTGGATCATGGTGTGGTTTCTAATAGTTTAGTACCATCCCCTAGTGCTATCTCGTGATAGAGATTCCACAAGATACGGTTGCTTGAAAGTGTATAGCACCTCCTCCTTTGCTCTCCCTCTTTCTCTCCTGCTGGCCATATGAAAATGTGTTTGCTTCCCCTCCACCTTTCACCATGATTGTAAGTTTCCTGAGGCCTCCCCAGAAGCATAAGCCTGTACAGCCTGCAAAACTGTGAGCTACTTAAGCCTCTTTCCTTAAAAGTAATTCAGTCTCAGGTATGTATTTATAGAAGTGTGAAAACAAACTAATACTCTTGTAAACTTGAAATTTACTAAGAAAGTGGATCTGAAGTGTTTCCATCACCAAAAAAAAAGGTAGCTACATGAGATGTGAGGTGATAGATGTGTTATTTAACTTGATTGTAGTAATTATTTCAGAATATATTAATATGTTAAATCATTATATTATACATCTGAAATATATATCATTTTCATTTGTCAGTTATACCTCAATAAATCTGGGGATAAAATAAAAATAGATAATACAGTTAAGGACATAAGTTGTAACTAAGTAGCAGACAACCAAAGTGGGGGTATCAATAGAGCAAAAGTTGCTTTTTTGGAAAGATTAATAAAATGTATGAGTCCCTATCACAACAGATTAATAAATAAAGAAGGATAACAATTCCACCAATAAAAGGGGTATCATTACACATTCTATTGATGCTTAAAAATTGCAAGAGGATACTACTGAAAAAGTTTATGGCCATACACTTGACAACATGGATGAAGTGGGAAAATTGCTTTAAAAGAACAATTAACCAGAACTGACAGAAATTAGATAGAAAATCTTGGTAATCCTATGATAGTTAATTAAAATACTCAATTTTAAATGACTGCATTGGTGACTTTTTTTTCTATTACTTAAACATAACAATTGATATCAATCTTGTTCAACTTCCCAACTTTTATGTGAGGACATCTAAACTGTGACACTGAAAATCTTTCAAGGACCTCAGAGGGAAAGAAAAGGCCAATATGACTCATATATATTCACAGAATAATTCTAAACAAAACCTTAGCATTTTGAATCCAACAACATATGAAAGAGATTGCAATGTTGGTTTAGCATTCAAAAGTGAATAAATTTAACACTCCAATTAGCAGAAAAAAATGAGAAAAAACACATGTTTACACTAAAGATAAAGAGAAAGCAGGAGATTCAATATCCATTCATTCTAAAATCACTTAAAGTATAAAGAGGAAAATTTCCTTTATTTGATGAAGAATATCTATACAAAATCGGAAGGTTAGATTTTATTAAACAGTAAGCATGTTCCCTTTATTTTGGGTATAAGAAAACAGCATTTACTAATACCAACTTTATTTGGTGGTCTTTAGAATAGTGAAAATATAAATAAATAAAATAACCATATGTCATCATGCAAATATGGATAATTTCTTTAAACACAGAATCATACAAAAGAAGCTAAACACAAAAGAACACATTTCATTACATTAAGAAAGGATAAATTTCAAATAAATGACAAAACTGTAGGGTTTGAGGTCTTTAGGGTAGAAAGCAAGAGGAGTGATTGGGAGCAAAAACCAAAGAGGTGTTTTGGTTGCTTGCAAGGATTACTTATCCTCTGTACTCTGTCTTTTTTCTTTATTCCCTCTATATTTAATTTCTATATTTAATTGGAATTTTATTTATTCCTTTCATTTCAATTAGTACTCACATTAGAACGAATATCACATTTAGATTAGTAGCTCTATCCTATCTGGAGGAATACATCAAAATTTCAAAAGGCTTTTACTCTTTTATCTTTCTTTAGGCTTCCACATTTACCTATAGTATTTCTAATCTGCAGCTCTCATCACTTGAAACTATTTTGATTTTTCAAAATTCATCCCAAATGTCCCTCAAGGAAGCTTTCTCTGTGAAATTTCCACCTATGATTTTCCATTGTGTTTAGTTTCTAACCTATTCTTCATATGCCCCAGTCCAGTTTACATTGAATTATTTATTTATAGCCTTCTCAAAATAAGGTTTAAGAAATATGCTGAAATGCTGATATTTTATCCACTGAAGTACTGAATTAGTGTTTTAACCAAATCAAATGATAAAAAGTACTTGACAAATTGCACTGATTTTGTATCATAGTGGGATCATGGCCCATCAACTTTCAACATTTGAAAAAATATTTATTCATGCATTACTTTTGGTGACATCAGATGTAGAAGAGATAGGAGTAAGAGGAATCAAGGTGCCAAGAGAGGTTGTGAGGAAAATCACAAGCCCCACCTGAGCAAACACCATCCGCAAAGTACCAGCCCACTACAAATCACCATCTGTAATGTCATGAATTCCTGCATTAATTACCCATTTAAAATAGTACTGGACTTAGTCCCCAAATTCTGCGTAATCCCAGTTCAGTTCCACTTTGATCTAATTTAAATAAATACTCCATCGAATCATGTGAACCCCGGAGACGGAGGTTGCAGTGAGCCAAGATCACACCATTGCACTCCAGCCTGGGCAACAAGAGCGAAACTCCGTCTCATAAAATAATAAAACTAAATAAATAAATAAAATACTTCATCTTTTGTGTGTGTTCTACTGTTTTACTTTTTTTGCATAATTTTTAATTTAAATTAATTGACACATATAATTTGTGTATATTAAAAGTTGTATAATGTGATGATTTCATATATTGTGTATTCATACATCGTGTACTGATTACTACAGTCAAGTTAATTAACATATCCGTCATCACCCATGGTTACAATTTGTGTGTGTGTGTGTGTGTGTGTGTGTGTGTGTGTGTGTGTGGCCGGGGGTGGGTGAAGACAAAAAAATATACTTCATTATCAAATTTCAAGTAAATAATACACTGTTATAACCAGAGTTGCCATGTTATATGTTAGAGCCCCAGAACTTATCAATCTTACAACTCAGTTTGTAACCTTTACCAACATCTCCCTATTTTCACTATCAACCCTGCTGCTCTGCCCCAACCTTTCTACTCTCTGCTTCTATGAATTTGGCTTTTTTAGAATCCACATGTGAGAGATCATACAATATTTGTCTACCTGTATCTGTATTATTTTACTTAACATACTGTCCTCCAAATTCATTCATGTTGTCTCAAATGACAAAACCTTATTTTTATATAGATGAATACTATTCCATTGTGTGTGTGTGTGTGTGTATTGTATTTCCTTTATCCATTCATTCATCAATGGCCACATTGTTTTCCTATTTTACCTATTGCCAATAATGCTGCAGCAAACATGGCAATGTAGATAACTCTTCAAAATACTGATTTCATTTTATTTAAATATATACTCAGACATGGAATTAGTGAAGAGCTCAGGACAAATACCAGACTGGAGAGTCAGAGCACATAGTAACAGGGAATACAATATTAGAAATAAAGCAAGCATTGCCAGTGAAGAAAAAAAATGAAATTAGCCAAAAATGTGTTTGTAATCGCATACCTATGCAGGAAAGAAGTCTGACACCCTGGCTCTGGTTCTAGTTTCCCCCTTTAAGTAAAGAATATCTAGAGCTTTGAGAAAGCAATTCAAATTGCCATGTACTCTCATAATTGATATGTTTTCCTTCCATTTTTTTACTAACATCTAAATCAATGACATTCAATTTCTACATCTTATAGATTGAAAATATGTTAATAACTCTTTTTATCTATAGTTATTCAAATTATAAAGAAGGGAAAATAGACTTGCCCGCTCTATTATATACATTGTTGGCTATACTGTGTTAGAATTTGTTTTAATATTATTGAAATATAAAGGACCAGTATTCTTTGATTCCATTTTCAACCCCACCCCAAAAAGAGGGAATGCTGCAAGCTATTCTACAGTTCCAGGTTTTCTTACATCCACTTCCAGGTATGTTTTCACTGAGCCTTCATCTCATCAATTCCCACACTTTTGTCATGACTTAGATTAAAATTGTCAGTTCTTGAGAGGATTTTTTCTCACATGAGTTACAAATCCATATCTACATTAGCTACCTGTGTTTTTCACTTAGTATCAAATTCTCACCCTTTAAAATCTTCACTGTTGTAGACAACTATACATATGTTCAATGTTTACTTATTATCCATTTCTTCTACTAGACTTTAGCTCTAAAAAGTTAAAGAAAAGTCATAATAATATATTTGGGATTCTGAGTTTTCAATATCCTGAATGTATACTTTATATTTTGAAAACTGTAATATGTAACTGTAGTTTATAACATAGTTTGTATTATTCTAAGAAAACTTCAGGTATGTTAACAGCTGTATTAATGTCCCTAACAAAACCTTGACCTCAGACATCCTATACCTGCTTCAGTAACCTCTACCTCATATTCTCACCATTTACTTTGATGTGACTATGTCTTATATTTTGTCATCATTTTACATTTTACCATTTTTTATCTTAAAATCTGAAATATAAATCTAATTTCCAGCTGTACCTTTGAATCTTCTCTTTAGTCTGATTAAAAATTTCTTCAAGTTCCTTCACATATCTTTATTCCCTGACTTATAACATCACCTATCCAAATGACTTCATACAATTCTCTATCCAAGACAATTTGGTTAGCCAATTTGAGAATATATCCTCTATTATCTCCAAATCTGTAAAGTGAGTGCTGAGAAATATTTAGAGAAAGTGTGTTTATTCATCTAATTAAATTTCATGTTACCTACTATCAAAAGTGATTTCTATTTCCTTTTAATCATTTAATTTTGGCTTGTTGGATCCTTTCTTTCCTCATGCAAACTGCTTCTGAACATTGTTACAGCCATTATGTCTTTAACCTTATTTCTAGTATTCTCACTCAGTAAGCAGCTTCATTTTTTACCTTTTTCAGAAACTTGAGTAAACAGCCCTGAATTGATTCCCTTATAACTTTTTATTTATTTATATATGTGAAAATATATTCGTTTATAACGTTTTAAAATTTATTTATGAAAATATACAATATATAACCTCCTTATTAGAATATATTATAAGATGGCCAGGCGTGGTGGCTCACGCCTGTAATTCCAGCACTTTGGGAGGCTGAGGTGGGTGGATCACAAGGTCAAGAGATAGAGACCATCCTGGCCAACATGGTGAAACCCTGTCTCTACCGAAATATATAAAAAATTAGCTGGGCATGGTGGCAAATGCCTGTAGTCCCAGCTACTCAGGACGCTGAGGCAGAAGAATCATTTGAACCCAGGAGGCAGAAGTTGCAGTGAGCCGAGATTGCACCACTGCACTCCAGCCTGGTGACAGAGAAAGACTTTATCTTAAAAAAAAAAAAAGAATATATTTTAAGATATATATAAAATAGACAAAGATTTAATTATCTATACTGGTAGACCGTAGTCTTTTTTTTTTTTCAAATCTTAAACTCCTAAACTATGTGCATGTGTGTTTTGTTAATACTTTAATACTTTTCCTTACTTATGTCCTGCAGGGCTATGCACTAGAAATTATCACTTATCTCCTCTTCTTTACATATACATTATCTTTTTCTTACTTTAAAACAAAAACAAATTAATAAGCACTTTCCCATGAATCTGAAAACAATGTCATTTCACTCTCACTCTCTGTCCCTGCCTTTTATAGTTCATGTCTTATAAAACTTCTTGGAATAATGTCTAAAGACATTTTAATAATTTTAGTTCAACCTTGAAGATAGTCTTCTTCAATATTTTTACCTTATTGATGAGACATAAAGATCTTATAAGTGAAAAGATTTGCACAATGTCACATTACTACATGGCTGAGAATTGCACCTAGATTTTAAAAATAAAATCCAGCTTTCTTTATTTTGTCACCCAGGCTGTTATCTTTTGAAATTTATTTTTCACAATTATCCTACTCAGCCTAGACTAAAAATAGTTTATTCCTACTTCTTTCTCTCCAAACAAAGGTAATTATTTACTAAGTCCCATAGCTTCTACCAGCACAATATCCATGCACTTTATTCCTCCTTTCTGTTATTATTCCCAACTCAATAGTCCCTAAACTTACTAAATCTCACCTATGCCATCTTTAGCCAAAAACTACAAAAAGCAGCTTCTAAGTGATTCCTCGGTTACATATTTTTACTCACTCCCATAGCCCAAGTGCTATGCACTATGGTGGATTCACATTTTTAAAACTGAGCTCTATTCAAAGTATTTCCCTAATTACTGTACTAACCAAAAAATCAGTTTAAAATATACTGCATCATCCATGTCTGTTGAGCATATAGCATATGTCAGACTGAAAATGATAAATGACAAATATTAAAGTTCTGCAATTGAGAAATAATTCAAGATAGAGATATTTTTACATATAATAAAATATACAGATTCTGTCACAGAATTGTACTTGTTGACATTGCATTTGAGTGGAGATTTGGTAAACAAAAAACTTGTCTTCCCATCACCAGCAGAATTTGGTGAGAATTCCTTAAAGAACGCTATAGCTTGACCCTACCCTCCATTTTCAGTCTTATTTCAGACTTACCTTCTATTTTAAGGTCTTGTAAAAGTGAGAACCAGGTAAGAAGTTTCCTCAAAGAAGAAGACAGTCATTTTCATATTACAATTACTACAGACAAAACAAATTGATTTAAATAAGCAACATCATAGTAATACTTTATTTTCAAATATCAGGGTTTGATCAAATGCAGAAGGAATGGGTAGATGATGCAATGTCACTTGAAAAAATTTATTTCCTCAAATGGTGGAACGCCATTGGAGTTTTAAATAATAGTCAGCTAATGATCCAGAATAAGTGATCAAAAAACTGTATCAAGGAGGATTAGGAAGCCGCAGTGATTGGGGTTAAAGAAGGGAATTATTTCCCTACCTCCTCTGTGTCTGATCACAGGCAGAGGTAAAACTCCAGTTCCTCTTAAAATTTCATTCTTTATCTTCTCCAGCATGTTCCAGTTAATGCAAAAAAAAAAAAAAAGTGGTTGTTATAGAAGAACCGAGTTAAAATGAGAGGGAAAAAAAGGAAAGGTTGAGTCTTCCTCATTCTACCTCTAGCTGTGAAACTGATTGATGTTTTTAAAGCTCTCAAGGAACAGCTGCAGTTTCTGTTTCAAAACAAAAGAAGAAAGAAGACCAGAAAATTATGTAGCAAAATCATTTTCCCACAATAAACGGGGAGAGGATTATGTTAGGTAAGAATAATACAATAAATGCAGTTGATCTGTGAAAGAAAGGGAACAGTTAGTTATGTCTAGGACAGCCTGCAAGGGAGCTTGGTAACACTGTTCCACAAACTGCAACAGCCAGCAGAAGAAAAACCATTCCTTAGTCCAGCTTCATTATGTAACTAATAGATTTTCTTATCCGTGAAGACTGATTTCCAACAATGTACTATAGTGAGGAATTGCAGCCTCATTATTTGAAAGCTTAGGACACAGAAAGTTGTCACCTCCTTGACCTGGGGTTTTAGTTAAGAGGCCTGAAGGGAACACAAAAGGTAGGTATTACAGGAAAAGAACCAAGAAAATTCAATGTTTGAATTTATGAAAAAAGAGAAAAAATAAGAAAAAGAATGCTGTTTTCTGAGAAACATGGAGTATAATAGTATAAAAAATACAAATAAGAAATTTAGAAACATGGAAAATATTTTTGAGGTAAAACAAAACTGATTTTGATAGTTTTGAAATTTTGTATTATTCCAAATGCTTCAAGTTTGCAAGTTCAAATGAACAGTATACCACGTGAGCATATTCATGAACCAAAGGGAGTGACAGAGAAAGAATCAGAGCCCTGGGATTACGGTTAACTGAGGCTTATTTCATTATTGTAGAATCCGTGATGGCTAACATAATAATGGTCATTGTACAGGGCAATGCTATTACATATCTTCTGCTTTAGGGAATTGAAGTCAAGGAAAATACATTCCCCTATGTATATTACTATTTTCAATAAACTCCTTAAAAATGAGTCTTTGGTGAGTAAGTTAATGTTCTCTAATAATAATAACAACACATACATTTGGAATGATTATATGGAGCTATATATGTACGGTACCTAGAATAGTATCTATCATGTATTAGATAATAAATGTTTTTTAATATTTAAAATATTTTTTTATTTCTGTGGTAAGTACTTTGAACATAAAAATTAATTAAAACATGAATCTTCTCATGAAAACTATAGTTTCAAGAAAGATTATATATATATCTGTATATGATATATATTACCTATATATAAACACATGAATCTCTGTGTGTGTGCGTGTGTGTGTGTGTGCATGTGTACAAATTCCATAATACAGCATAGAAAAAGCTGCAAGAGAGCAAGAGAGATGCTGGCCAAATTCATTGAGGGTTTAGAAATAGAGATTTAACATTTATTAGGAACACAAGATTTAGGAGATAATATTAGAGTTAGAATTTGAAGACTGGGTTGGATTTGAGGATCTACATCGAGAGACCAACTAATAAATGGGAAAAATAGGAAATTCGTAGAAATCTGCAACCAAATGCAACTTGGAAAATTCAAGAGTATGTGAGAATGAACAATGTTAAATAACACTGGAGAAAGAGGTTCAGATAAAATCTTAGGGGGCTTTTATGAGGGGAAAATTAGTTCCAACTTATTCTGTAGTGATGCAGCACATTGGAAGTTACCAAGGGCCATGAAATTACATCGTAATTATGACAAACTATTTTATACACATAAGCAATAAGAAAAAAGATGTGTTGGACATACATGAAATAAATGCATTTACGGCCTCCAAAAGTTCATAATCTTGATCTTAAATGAGACTTTATTACATTTCTTCTTATGCACAAGGCTATTGATAGGTAAACTTTGCTCAATGCTGTCATTTCAGTGCCTAGAAGAATATTTCTTGAATGAACATGTGGAATATAGAGCCAGGTTTGATATAAATGTGTTAATTCAGTTAGGCGGAATTGAAACAAAATAAAGCCAGGGTAGAGGTTCTATGGCTGTTCATTAAGGATTCCCTTTCTTTTCTACTAGGCTGTTAACTGCATGAGGAAAAGATTACAATTACTGTGTTCAACATTTTCTTCCCAGTTCTTAACACAGGTTCTAATATATAGCAGTTCCAGAAAAATATTTGTTGAGCAAACAGATTTTCATTAGTATGATTGTACTCTGTAAGTAGTTTTATAAAATCACAAATCTTAAGATTCTTATATATATGTATATGCAAATACATGTAAGGCAGATCAACATCATCATTTTAATGGCAAAAAATTCTTCCATTTTATAGAACTATCAGAATTTAATAAACTCCCTAATGCAGGATACTTTAATTTTAGCTCTCATAACTGTGTGACTTATATGTATAGATTGAACAACTATAAATTAATACATTAGATAATATTGTATAACTAAAGTCAGATTTATAAAGCAGTGTATGCATATATTCTATAGAGATATAGATATGATTAAGTTGTCCTAAAAATAGTATAGCAGTCTTCATATATATCCAGAACCATATAAGTGGGTCTGATTTTTTTTATACCCTCATATCCCCAAGGTATATATAGTCTTTTTCAGCCTTTGTCAAACTAATAAGTAATTAAAAGTTATGTATAGTTAATTTGTTTGATGATTACTGTGTTTAAAAACACTCTGCACTTATTATTTATTTATTAAATTGATTTTGTATGACTGTCCCTTAATTTTCCAGTTTTTCTTTTCTTTATATAATTGTAGAAAAATGTTTATATTAAAATATTAATATTTTATATCATATTTAACATAATATCTTTTTCTAGTCTCTCAATTAACATCGTCTTTATTTTATGTATATAATTTTCCAGTTATTGGGGATAAAATAATTCACCTTTCCTTTTACACTTTTTTATTTTTGTATGTTACTCTTTTTCATTTTTATATGTTACTCTTAGGCATGTCTTTGACATTTTTAACTAGAGATTATTTTTATTCTAAAATTGTTTTTCCCTTTAGGAAAATATTTTTCTCTTCCTCTTATTCAAGTAGATATGCTTTTATGTGCCCAAATTCAAAGGATGGTGTATCACAAATAATAGAAAGAAAGTGTCTTTCTTTGACTTTTATGATTAGAAAACCTAAGCCATTACAGCAATTGAGAGATCAAAGTCCTGAAAGACACATCATAAGTATAAGCAGGCTTTTCCCATTTTTCTAACTAGAAAGAATAATTTCTACTTTGGGCGTTTTGAGGGATTGGTAGAAGGGAAAGTTGTGAATATTTTAAAATTGAACTCAATACTCTGTATCCCACAGTAGGTCTGCAATTAGGCAAACACCTCTAATTACTTTGACAACCCAGCTCTGAATACAGAAAGGTTACATGACAAATTTTCCAAGTAGAGACTAAGGAAAGTTGGGATAAACAAAATTGAAATAATGTCTGGGTGTACAGGCAGGAAAGGCCTCAAAAAGCATCATAGCCTGGTGAGTTTTATGTTTAACTTTCTTGGGGCCTGCAGTGGGACCATTCTAGCATATTCCAACATAGCATCAACATAGAAGAAATAGTTTCCAGGCCTGAAAGGCCCATGAAACAGAAATGAAGGGAAAGTATTTAGCCAACTTTGGGGACCACCAGCTTAGAACCAGATGAGTACTGGATGATCAGTAGGAGCTTCTGTTACCATACAACATCAAAGAAAACACTAGTGTTTCTCTGAAACCATGACAGCACTTAAACATCATCCTCCATCCCAGACTTAGATGCAAATCTACAGCATGGGA